>NC_000012.12:46399521-46551037 GCF_000001405.40 Homo sapiens
GGGCAAAGGATATGAACAGACACTTCTCAAAAGAAGACATTTATGCAGCCAACAGACACATGAAAAAATGCTCATCATCATTGTGCATCAGAGAAATGCAAATCAAAACCACAATGAGATAACCATCTCACACCAGTTAGAATGGCAGTCATTAAAAAGGAAACAACAGGTGCTGGAGAGGATGTGGAGAAATAGGAACACTTTTACACTGTTGGTGGGACTATAAACTAGTTCAACCATTGTGGAAGACAGTGTGGTGATTCCTCACGGATCTAGAACTAGAAATACCATTTGACCCAGCGATCCCATTTCTGGGTATATACCCAAAGGATTATAAATCATGCTGCTCTAAGGACACATGCACATGTATGTTTATTGCAGCACTATTCACAATAGCAAAGACTTGGAACCAACCCAAATGTCCATCAATGATAGACTGGATTAAGAAAATGTGACACATATACACCATGGAATACTATGCAGCCATAAAAAAGGATGAGTTCATGTCCTTTGTAGGGACATGGATGAAGCTGGAAACCATCATTCTCAGCAAACTGTCGCATGGACAGAAAACCAAATACCACATGTTCTTACTCATAGGTGGGAACTGAACAATGAGAACACTTGGACACAGGAAGGGGAACATCACACATCCGGGCGTGTCGTGAGGTGGGGGGAAGGGGGAGGGATAGCATTAGTAGAAATACCTAATGTAAATGACAAGTTAATGGGTGCAGCACACCAACATGGCACATATATACATATGTAGCAAACCTGTACATTGTGCACATGTACCCTACAACTTAAAGTATAATAAAAAATAAATAAATGAAAAGAAAATGCAGTGAGCCATGAGCATACTGTTGCTCTCCAGGCTGGGCAACAGAGCAAGACCCTCTCTCCAAATTTTTTTTGTTTTAAAAGGAAGAAAGTTTAAAAAAAAAAAGACGGAGTGATGTAGTGTGCCAGGTACTGCTGACAACGTGAGGGAGAGGAGGCCTGAGAACTGACTATTGGATGTAGCAACAGGGAGGTCATTGATGACTTTGACAAGAACTATTTTGATGAAGTAATGAGGATGAAAGCTATTTGGAATGGATTCCAGAAGGAATGGGAGTAGTTGGACTGGAGGCAGAGTAGAGACTACACTTTAGAGGAGTTTTACTCTAAAAGGGAAGAGAAATAGGGTCATATCTGAAGGAGGATGTGGAGCCAGGAGAGTTTTAAAGAATCTTTCAAGTGGAAGAAATTATGACAGCACATTTGTATGCTGGGAATGATCCAGTAGAGAATAACAACTTGATGATACAAGAGCAGGTGGACAATTGCTGGAGCAATGTCTTTAAGTCGGTAAGAAGGATGGGCACCAGTGCACAAGGGGCAGGATGGGTCTTAGCTCAGAGCCTGAGCTATTCAACCATGGCTACAGGAGGAGACACGGTAGGTGTTTGGACACAGAGATATATACATGGATTGGAACATAGGCACCCACTCTGGCTCATCAGGCCTCTTGCTGGCAGTTAGTACATTTGACAGATGAAAGTGTGGTCCGTGGTTCTTGTGCCATGTGCACCAGTGTGCTGCATGAAAGGCCAGCCCTCTCACTCTCCCCTCATGGGCACACACAGACATGGGCTCTTTCCAGGCCTTTCTTCTTGTCCTCACCACTTTCTTTTGGTAACATAGCATTGCATTTATGTCCATTCTGCAGTTTAAAAAATCTTGAGCTGAGACCAGCTTAGCCATTAACATAAGGTCACACACTGATAAATGTTAGATCAGTCTCTTCAGAGATTTGATGTCCATTCAGGTGCACAGGGTTGCCTTTTACCAGATGGAGGGGAGCTCCAGGTGTGTACAATGTGCACATGGCCTTTGCCCCATTTGCTGAGAAGGGGCTTGGAGCACTGGGGAGCCTTCTCTCCTCATAACCTTTGAGGGACCGCACTCTGACCACATTTTGCTGTCTGCTCATCCTCCTCCATCTTTAAGTCAGCACTCCGCTTTTCCCTTTTGCTCATTATATTTGGGGAGAAGCAGGGTTTATGTGCACATTCAGTTGCCCCAATCAGAGACTTTTTGAACCTGGAAAAAGCCATTGTAGGACTTCTGGGCTAATCCTCTCCATATCTACTCCACCTTCTTCATTTGCCTATGTTGGCATCTCAGGCACTATCTACTATCTACTTCTAGTACTTTCTACACTCAAAACAGAAAACATACACACATGTGTAGGGGCGTATACACACACACACACACACACACCCACACACACACGCAGAGCTGCTTTGTTCCCTTTTGGAAGGAGCTGTAAGAGAAAAATTGTGAGGGTTTAGCCTGAAAACAACTCTCCCTGCTGTTCCCAGGGCTGTCATTGCAATGATTATTTGGGCCGCTGGAGGCGGGGCTTTGGCATGCATCTGGCAGTCACTGTAAAATGCATTCCCCTTAAAATCTGCTACTTTATATTAGGTGAGCTGTACACTCCAAGTAGTAGGTGTTTTCTGTTATACATACATAGTGTATTAAGTCTCTGTAGATGATTGTCATGTTATGGCTAACCAGTCTGAACTCTTAATTATAATGAGGCATTATTAAAAAGGTTCAGAGGTATATAGATGGATGAAAATGGTGTTTCACATATTGAAATAGGAATCACTTAACCAAAGAATATATTTCGATGAATCTTAAACTTGCCTTAAAAACAGAAGAGGTTAAAAAGAATTTAGAAAAAATAAAGTTTTAGAGTGTTTGAGAATGTGTATATAAAATATTTTCAAAGCCATAATATGGATGCTCTTATGGCTCAGAAGCATGCCTACTAGAACACGTCTCGGAATGAGAGATGTTTAATTCTGTCACCTCCCAGAAAGTTTTGCAGGGTTTCTCACTTGAATTTGCTTCCCTTTGCAACCTCTTGTCCTGAAGGCCCCCTTCCCACCTGGAAATGCTGAGGCATGGGTGTGATAAGAATCAGTCATTTTGAAGAGAATAAGATGATGACTTTATTAACATTTCCATATATGCTGATTGTGTGTGTGGCGGGGTGGGGGCTGGGGTGGAGGCTTAAGGCAAAAGCTAGAATTAGTCATATGAATTATGGGCTTGTTTGGAGACTGGGCCGCTCCTGTTCCCAATCAGTGCCAGTAAATCCTGCAGACAGCTTCAACACCACTACTCTGTTTCTATCCCACTCATAAAATTCCATGCCAAGGTAAAAACCACAATCCTCCCTTTCTTGGTTTTTCATGCAAAAACTATTTTAGAATAAATTTAAATGTCAAACCTTGAAGAACTTTGAATAGTGGAGGCTTCAGCTCATTTAGTTCACAGCATAGCTAAAAAATTTGAAAAAAATAAGGATGAAAGTACTAACATTTTAGAGGCCTATATTTTTCACCGAATTTCAGTTCCAGAGGAAGACAAAATTGCTATGTTGGAAGAATAGGATAAAAGAAGAAATACTGAGAAAAGCATAAATGTCAACAGCAGCACTTTCATGCTCGGGAGAAGCCCAGAGGCCCCATGTGTGAATAACATTGCAATGGCTGCTTTATGCAGTATGTAAATAAACACAGTCCCCACACCATTTAAAGTATTCAGCACTGACCTAAACAGGCCTAGACATAAAATGCCAGTCCAGACAGACGTTTGTGAATATACACACATAACACATTGCAGGAAGAACTTGGTGCCTTTTTCCAAATATTTTATTATGTACACATTTCAGATTAGAAACACTTTCAGTGTTCATAGTCTGAGCAATGGAAAACATTTTTAATCAGTCCTAGACAGCAGGAAAACTTCCTGCAGGAGTTCTACAAGGTTTATTCTTCATTTAACAGATGTTTGTTTATAGTAGAAGGCAGGAAGCTGTATGGTATGTCTCTAGCTTCAAAGAGCTTAAAATGTGGTAGAGACCTTTAGGGGAGTTTGGTCATCAGGGAATTAAAGATAACTTTCATACAGCTATGTGAGAAAAGTATAAAATCATAAAGAACAAAGAGGAGGCCACAGTTATGATTCCAAAATGACAAACTAAAGAAGAACGCCCAGGCAAGAACCAAGAACCAACAATACCATGCAATAATTATTCTGGTGTCTCCTATGTTACAGAATGTGTTCCAATGAACTTTGAGAATCTAATGAAAGTAATGGGCCCAGAATATCCATATATCCTCAAACATTTGCACAAAATGTCAGGGATTTTATGTCCTTGACAATGTCTGAGTCCATGGGCTTTGTATTTTAAATCTTTTATAGTTACATTTACCATGGTTAATGTGTTACAACTATTTATACTCCTGTCTCCTCCACTAGAGTACAAGCACTTCTAGCACAGCAGTACATTATGTTGTATATTTTATCCACACCCCTTTCTGTTTTGCATTGTGCCTGATGCATAGAAGGTAGTAAAAATGCTGACCACTCACTTGCCTACCTACCTCAGTGTTCAGGTGTTAGGTTAATGCAGCATCTTCCAAATATCAGTCATTTGAGTAACACCCTCACAATTTTTGCAGTAGTTGCTTACCACCTGTATTATTTTACAAGATAATGGTTTTTGGTGATAGACAGCATTAAATACTATCAAATTTCAAAGTTGAGCATGTTATTTTCATTCCATTTCCTTTTAGCTTAACTCACACCAAGGAGGCAGTCCTCATTTAGTTCTGGTGTATCTTTAATATCTCTCTGACATTTGGGGATATTCCTTTGGAAGGAACACAGAGACTTTTGTAGGCAGGAGTATGGCTAGAAGTAAATAACATTACTTTGTTTCTTCTTTCATTGTGGTTAGTTTTATGGAAAGTGATAGTAATTTTCTATTTATGGAAGTGAGAAAAAATTTTTTTAACACTGACTTAAGTTTAAAAAAATGTTTTAAAGAAAGGCATCACATCAGCTATCTGTTGCTGTATGGACTACTTCCAAAACATACTGGTTTAAAAAACAATGACTTATTTTGATTCTATGGGTTGGCTAGGCTCTGCTAGGCAATTCTTCTCTCCATGAGGTCTGCTGGGGTCATTCCTGTGGCTCGAGAGTTTGGTTGAGGCTGGAAGGACCAAAATAGCTTTATTCATTGCTGTGGTCTGAATGTTGGTGTCCTCTCAAAATTCAAATGTTGGAACTGAAGACTCAATGTGAGAGGTGAGACCTTTAGAAGGCTCTGCCCTCATGAATGGAATTAGTGCCCTTATAGGAGAGGCTTGAGGGAGCCTGTTTGCCCCTTCTGCCACGTGAACATGCAGCAGGAAGGCTCCATTTATGAAGCAGAGCCTTCACCAGACACTAAATCTGCTGGTGCCATGATCTTGAGCTTCCCTGCCTTCAGAACTGTGAACAATAGATTTCTGTTGCTTATAAATTACTCAGTCTAAAGTATTTTGTTCCAGGAGCCTGAATGGACTAAGACACGTACATGTCTGGCAACGTAGCTGAGGTGGCCAGAATGGCTGCAGGTGGTCAAGCCTCTCCCTGTTTAGTGGTGTCTCATCACTTCCCAGTGATGAGAGACCACGTGGAGCTTTTTAACATCATGGCTGGCTCCAAAGACAGTAAAAAAGAAAAGTACAAAGTCTCTTAAGGCCCGGACCTAGAAGTCACAGTGCATTACTCTGGCTACATTTTGTTGATCAAATCAAGTAACAAGACGAGTCTGGATTCAAGGGGAAGAGAAATAGACTCAACACCTTTTTGGGGGTTTAATGACACATATGTTCAGAAATGGGAATAATCTTTGATAAAGATTTTACAAACAATCTACACAAATGGTTAAGTAAATAATAGGACAGGTTGTAGCAGATATGGCAAAAATTGTGAGGGTGATATTCAAATGACTATTTGGAAGATGCTGTCTTCACCTAACATCTAAATATTGCAGTAGACAGTAAGTTGATGATTTTTAGTACCTTGTGCTAAGCATTATACACAAAGGAGTTTTATGAAAAAGATAACATGGTACAAACTTGTCCTAGAACTTTTTACATTCTAGTGAAGAAGACAGATATATAAATAAATATAACACAATTACCATGATGCATGTTACAGTAAAGGGTTTGAAATATAGAGTGCTGTCATTTTATGTAAAAGTCTGAGTGCAAATGGATTTTCTTGGGCCCATGATTTGTAGCAGATCTCAAAAAAGTGTGAAACCCTAAAAGGACCTAAAAACACTGAAGAGACACGATGGTGTGAAGCACAGAGATCAAAGCTACTAACAGTAGTGGTAAGGAAAAGATTTCACGGAAGTGGTAACATTTAAAGGTAGGAAAGCGGGAGGATTGAGGAGGAATTGGCACGAGTTGGACGCCAGTTAGATGTGGGGAGGTGAGATGGATGTAGAGGAAGGAGAGGAAGAATTAGGAATGTGGGGGAATTGAAGAAAGGGAAAGGGGAACAAGTAATTAAAGGATGACAGTTTTCTAGCTGGGGAAAATGGTAGATGGTAGAAAATATAGGAGGAAGAATGGGTTTTCTAAGTACAGCTTTCCAGAATTCAGTTTTGTCCAAGTTGTGATTGAGATGCCCATGTGATAAACCAATAGACAATTGGGCATGCAGGTCTGGAATGTACCTATCTTGTGCCAGGCACTTTTATAGGAATTGCATATAGAGCCGTGAATATCCTAAAGATATTCACATTCTAGTGAATGTGAATACAAAATACAAATGTTATCAGAATTCTTAGATTCTAATGTGGTTGGCAGGGAGTGGGGGGTGGGCGGCGTGGAGACAATTAGTGTGGAAAAAAGCCAATATAAATTTTACCCAACGTTAAATACTAAGAATAAAGTAAATTTAATTAATGGGATAGAGAGGGTTGGGGAAGCTACTTTATCTAGAGTAGTATGGAAACTGAAGGCAGCTTTTTGAACTACAACTTAAAGCTGGGAAAGAGGCTGAGCCTCTTTAGCTTGATAAGGTAGGACAATTGTACCAGCAAGAGATTAACCTTTGTGATTTAACCTGGTGTCCCTCAGAGACCACATTGTTGTGAGGAACCCTTCCCCCAGCACCTCCACCCACAGACATCTTAATCTTCCCCATCTAGCAACAGAACCATGTGGAGCAGATAATGAGTATAAATAAAAATCCATTCATGTGTCCAGGACACCAGAGGAGTGGAAACTTCAGGGAGAGAGGAACTATGAGAGATAAGAAGAGAATGTAAGGAAGAAAATGGCAGGGGGAAGTCACTCACTGACCTCTGATGGTATGGACACAGATATGGGGCTCCCAAAAGTCTGGGATTGAGCCCCACTCCCATAGTTAGTATCGAGGAATGAGTTAGTCTAGAGATAACACTCCTCACCACACTTTGGATGTTGTACAAGATGGATTACATCACTGTCTGAGATGGGTTACCTCACTTGAACTTGAGTGAAGAGACTTGAGTGAACTTAGATTGTACAATATTCTGGGTTTTGGGTATACTGATTTGAGGTAGTGATAGGACACCATCTTCCCTCCCCACCCACTTGCACATGTCTAGACCCCTCCACTGGGGAAGATAGGGTGAGAACAGAGTTGTCTCTGGACCAATATACCACCAGGAAGACTTTGTCTCCTGACATCTCCCACTTCACCCATACTAAGGTAAAGGTATTCAATTTTTAAATAAATTGTTTATTATAATATTATTCTGATTTTCCAGTTATTTATGAAGATGCGTGCCCCCACCCCATGAAGAATGTGCACAGTGTTAAGTAAATCATTCTATTTCAGTGATTCTGACCACATCTACCTTGCCTGGTCCAACAATGTCTCTAGATTTAAAGTGAACAAGGATAAATTAGTTCATGATATGTATTGAAATGAAAGAATCTCATAAAATAAAACCTTCAGTGATTGGAACATATCATTTTAGAGCTTGTAAAGTTGTCAAATATTGGGCAAAAAATAATTTAAATGATTGGATCTATTATCTTTTTTTTTTTTAACCGTAGGTAGAATATTAGTTCAACACCACAGCCTTTGAGTATTACTGGATATTGTGGGCAGAAGTGAGCGATGTGGTAGCTTACTCATCACAGCTCTACACCTCTTTCTGATAGAAGAGGTTTGGGTTTGGGAATATTTTAGACCATTATTTTTCTGCCATTTCCTGTTGTCACCCTGATTCAATCTGTAACTGGGGTGTTATTCAAAATATATATGTTATCAGAGAGGAATTAATTCCTCAAACATAGGCACTCTATAGGACTCTAAAATGCTAAAAAGTACATATTAAAGAAAAGTTGGAGAAAATTCAGGATTGTTGGTATGGTGCTGCTGTTTTCCTTTAGCCCATTATTTGTGACCTTGACTATCTCAATTATGATGTAAATCCATGGAATCAAATCACTGACATGTTTATGATTCTTAGTTGCATTTGATAGTTATTTATACTGTAGAGGTGGCAAGGACACTTTTCCACATAGAGTGCCTCCTGTCAAGAGAAAATGAAAACCTTCCCGGAAAGTCTCAGAGCACTGGCAGGAGGCTTTGTGAAGTCCAATGGGGCTCTTAAAGTGGGAATCAGAACCATACTTTCCAAACTTAGTGAAGTGAAAAGATAAGGGAAAGATAGTAGTGTTGGGATCCCTTGTGTTGGTGAGAGAGAACGCTACTACTACCAGCAGTAATAATAATACACCCGGTGTTTCCTGTATTCTGGGGACTGTTCTAACACATTCCATGCATTAACCAATTCAATCTTTGCAACAGCAATTGATGTCATTAGTGTCTTCTTTTTACTGGTGAGGAAACTGAGGCCCAGAGAGGTCACACATCTACTAAGTGGAGAAGCTGGGATAGGAGTGAGTGCTGACAGGTGAATGTTACTGATTGTAAAAGTGAGGAAGATAGGATTTTTCTGTAAGTGAGAAAAATCACTTGAGAGAAGGTTGCTCCCCTGCTGAAGCCAATGTTGGCTCTGAGGAGGGCAGATGCCAGCCTCCTAGCCCCAGGCCTTACAGCTGCCGGGGCTGGGCCTCCAAATCTGAGAAGGGGCTCCTGACTAGGATAGAGGCTGCAGGGGCTGCTCCTGAGACTCCTGTCATCTCCAGCCTCATACATCCCAGAATTAGAAAATGTTTGAGCTGGAAGGATGCCTAGGGATACACTGAACTCCCTATTTTGCAGAAAGGGCCCCAAAGCAGCGCATAACTTTACAGGGATTATTTTTATTCCTTTGGTCCTGGGAAAGGAGGCTTTTTCAGGGGGGGGTTGCGATGAACTGAGCAACATCTGGAGCCCCGTTTATTTGTACCTCTTGTCCTTGATGGACAGGAATCACAAGGATAAAAGTTAAGATAAAAGGAAAGAGATACTACCAAGTTTTATGGAGAAACGTGAACAGGAAGGAGACCTTCAGGCAGGATTTATTTATAGTTCTGTGGGGACTGTATGGATCTGTGTTTATGGGTATGGAGCATTAGGAACTGTGAAGTTTCAATTTCTTTAATGTTCTTAGTTGGTGCCCAGGAGGATTCATTATTTTAGTTTTCATAATGATGCAATTAGGAAAAGTCAGAAACATCAGAATGTTTCATTTGCTCCCAGAAATTCTTGTTGCCACCTCTTCATGAGTGTGGCTGTCCTGGGCATTCCTTGATGTTCCACATTTTGGACGTGGGAGCATGACTATGCCCTGGACCCTTGGTGTGGACTGGGGCTCCACTCAGGCACATTGGAGAGAAGGCAGCTTCCATTGCTGCTGGATTTCATCTCAGCCCTGTTATTACTGTGCCCAGGAAATCATTCCCTTTGCCACTTCTTAATTATGCCTCTGGGTACTTTATGGTAAGGGTGACATTTTTCTCTTGACAGGCAGTATTATAGTATAGAACTGTCCTTGTCACTCTTTGCTGCTTTTAATAACCACGAAATCTCTTACAAGATGTCTGGAGCTTCATAAACATATGTTTATGGCACCATTTTATCCATCCTGAAATGGTCAAGGTCATAGATAATGCACCAGAGGAAGGAAGACAATGAACACACTATTATAAATAGATGTGTAGCTTGAAAATGACCCTTTCAGACACGGGGACATTAGTTGGCAATAAGAAAGGAAGTGATGAAATGTAATAATAATTTTATTTTATTTAGGAAAGTCTCCAGGTGTATGCCAAATGCTTGCTATTGTGTTTAACTGATTGGCATTTTAGCGTGTTAGAGGTTTAAACATGTATTACAGTTATTTCATTACAATGAAAAGTGAATTAAAAGATAAGAATGAAGCAGAAGTGCAGTTTGAATAGTCAAAAATTAGCATATGATACATAATTTTATTTTAAGAAATCTAAGTGACACATGTAAGAACAGTGTACCTTTCATTTGTTATTCTGAATTTTTAAAAACTTAGGCATGGGGGATCATTTTAGTTAGTACTGAATCCCATTTCTTTTTCTCTTCCTCTCTCATTCATGCTCAACAGAAATATTTTAATAATGAAAGATCTAAAAGGTATATCAGCTTTGTTATTTGGTGCTCAAAAATGTTCCCATGACATTGGTTTACACTTGCCAGTATATGGGTGGATGGTCTGTGCTTATTTGATCTTAGAACTGCTAGTATCTGGGGAGAGAGAAAAGCAACAAAAACAGTATCATGCTCAGCAACATCAAAAGCGATGACAATAGCATTAATTGGTGTGTCCATATATGTTAATGTTAACCCTTTCAATACCTTGTTTAGGCAGTTATTATTATAGTAGTAGAAAGGGTCAAGAGTTAAGGCATTGAGGTTAAACCTTGGGAAAGTTAACTCCTCTCAGAATTTCAGTTTCTTCATCTGTAAAGGAGGACTACAATTGCAGTAGTAATAATCATGAATACTGCCCATTACATAAATAATGCATGTAAAGCACTTTGCACAGTGCTTGTTTTACGATTACTAGCTGTTACCATCATCATCCTCATCCCCATTTTTCAGATGAAGAAGCTTGGTGCACAGATTAATAAAGCTCTGAAATGAAAAGCAGGAGTTGAGCAAAGAGTTACCTGACTCCTAAACTCTTGCTGTTGTTGAAATCCCACCACCTTATTGCATTAGGGAATATTGCTTTGTGAGAAAGGAGGGTGTGGGAGTGAGGTTTAGCCTTCAGGCCAGGAAGCTAATTCTAATTTTAGGAAGAGGTGACAAGGACGTGAGGAAAAGCAATTATTTATAGTCAGGCCACAAGGGCCTCGGATTTTGCCTCTGATTGGCACTTGTCTCCTTCTGCATTCCTGCTTTCTCCCACTGGTGTTGTCCTTTCCATGCATCATGATTTCCCAATGCCGGGAGAATGTTTAATTGGGTAATTACCCAGGTTCAGTTCTCTGAACTTGCTTAATTCCCTGGATAACAAAAAAAAGGAAAGAGGGGTAACTTACCAGTCAGATATCTACTCCCTTTTTTAATGTTATATAGACCTGGATGCTTAGCTTGTTTGTGCAACCCTAGTCAATTTGCACAGCTTCGTTTGTACCATTTTTTTTGGAAGAGGCAAAATAAGTTCTGTTCTCAAAATAGAGTCACCACAGGTGGAAACATAACACTTGTAAGTAGTTCCTCTGGTTTTCTATCTATTCAGTTACTTTTGTGCTAAAGAGTAGACGTTTGAGTTAACTATAACTTATTGTATATTTCAAAATCAAGATTGGAATTGAAATGTTCCTAACACAAATATTAAATGCTTGAGGTGATGAATATACCAATTACCCTGATTTGATCATTATGCATTGTAAGTTATCAAAACTTTACATGTGCCCCATAAATATGTACAACTATTGTGTATCTATAAAAATTAAATAAAAATATACTGAGCCAAAAAATAAAGAATAAGCATTTGTACTGTGCAATTCCCCACCCTGTGCAAAAACTTGAGAGGAGAGATGCTCTTTGAGCTTGAGGATTCCTTGCATGACATCCAGTGAAACTTAATTTGCACTTTGGTCTTCCTAAGTGTTCTTAGAAAAAAATTTCTCTGTAGTATAATTTCCTGGTAGGGATTAGTGAAACTATCTCCTCATTGGCATTTAGTTGCTTTTCCCTCTGTGTTCCTATCTCTTGTATTAGATTTAGTTGTTTGCATGCTTGTTTCCCCCCTTTGGAGTGTAGACTTCTTGCAGGCAAGGATGAAGGCTTCCTCCTCTTCGCTTTCACTGCATCTAGTACAGAGCACTACTCAGTAAATATCAGAGCACTTAGATAAGTTGGTTAGTCTACACTAACTTGGATTAAACCTTTTTGCTGCCACTACCTGACGAATGAAAAGGAGAAGGGAACAGAAATAACTTTACCAATTGTGGTATCTTTGGCAGTCATTGACAGAAGCATAGGGTGTGGAAGGGGTGGAAAGGGAGAAAAAAGGGTAAAAGAGCAGAAAAATACAGAAAGAAACTGAAGATAGAAAAGGGTAGGCTAGGATAGGGAATATATTTTGCATCACCAATTATTTCTGGTACAACCCATCTTGAGCCAGTATACCCCGCTATTACCCCAGCCACAGGTATCTTCTTCTTTTTTTTTTTTTTTTTTTTTTTTAAGCTTAACCAAGATAATGGATTTCAGTGGGCTCTCAAATCAGAAAGAAATGGGGCTGAAACATTTAGGCAGTGAAAAGTGTGTCACTATTTTTCCTTCCTGTAACCAGGTCAAGAGTTCCGGTAGGAACATGGAGCCTGAGCTGGTAAATTTGAATATCTGATCTTCCAGGCTCGGAGCAATGAATAGTGGTTATAGGGAAAGGAATCGCAGGAGGTAAGATCAATTATGTAATGAGGGGTAATTATGCAACAGGTCATACATCAGTTTGGGAGAGTTGTACACATTTTATGCAGAGCAAGGCTGGGTAGACCTACTACTGCATAGGTAAATGTAAATTACCCAGTTGACTTCAGTGGGTAGAGTTCTTGTCTGAGCACTGCTCGGTTCTCATAAACCTTTCTTCTTTCATTCTCCTCTGATGTCTTCCTGGATTAATAGCAAGAAGGAGAACAGGACAAAGGAATACTTGGTCTTTAAAAGAATAAGCAATTTTCTATAGGTAGGCAGCAAAGTGTTAACCTTTGGTCCTTTCACCCTAGAAAGAAAGAAGTCCTCAGACTTTTGCCATTCATGATGCTTTTAGCAATACTTTTATTTAAATCCAACTCAGTTTCTGAATTATCATGACTTTAATAAAGAGTCTGCATTGGGGCGCTTAAGCTTTATGGTAAACGAAGTAACTTTGTATCATAGAGGTTACAGAATTTAAGTGTCAATTGGATGAGTTCCATGTATTTCCATTCTAGAGACATCTCCAAAGAGAAAAGAAGGTACATGAAAAGAAAGAGGAAAAAATAATGAGCAATAATGACTCAAGTTAAGGGGAAACATTTTTTAAAAAGCGAAACACTAATGGCAATTGATAGATTTGATTTTTATTTTAGTGGAAAGTCCATGAGCTTCTTCTTAATCTCAAAGGATAGTACAATTCATTTGGATTGTCTTGTATACACAGTGATGGTCCACTCTGGTCTACTGCCAGCATTTTGTTGCCAACTTCATTCTTGGATGGTGGGGATGATGAACAACGCGGCATTCCACTCCTGTTCCCAGTGTGGTCCATCTGTGGCACTTTCTGTCATTCAGTTTCCAATTTGCTTTAAATAGTTTTATTTACTCTAAACGAGGATGGTGCTATGTTGCCAGTGACAGGCTCTTCACCTCCATCATCACAGAAAATGTTGTCAATATAGAATTAGAGAATAAAAAAACTAACAGGTAGAAGTCAGATAAAGCCAGTGACTTGCACAAATGGCAGCGTGAAAATCTTAACTTTATTAATTTTGAGTGTGCTTTGTATTTCCAGACTTTTGCTAATGTGGTACATAGCTTCTTAAAAGCAAGGCTCATTTTCTCCATACTCAAGGAAGAAGTAACTCTAGTATTTTATTTTAGTGGTTTAGTTTCAGCATTTTAAAAAATCCTTCCATATTATCTGTTACCCAATTTGCTAAAGAATAGCACAATAGGTACTAAAGTTCAGTGAACTGGTCCAAAGTTTCAGTTCACCTCATGTTTATTGACTCTTCTTATTGTGTTCTGACACTGGGGTTATAAAGACGACAAAAGTGTAGTTCCTGACCTCTCTCACCAAGCTCGTAGCTTAACCAAGAGAGACACAAAAAAAGAGACAGTCCAAGTTGAGACATTGTTTATGCTTCATAATAATTTTGGAAGAAACAAATCAAGTGCTAGATTTCCTCTTGGCAAGAAAGAAGGAGATGGAAAGCCACAAGAGTAAGTGGGAGAGGGGAAATTTGGTGGTGGGTGCTGTGTTAGAATTATAGGAGAGTGAAGTTTTATAGGAGAGTGAAGTTTTTTTAGCATTTTTTTTTTGCCTTCAACTTTATATATAGGAAAATTTCAGGCTTACAGGAAAGTTAGAAAAATAGTACAGTGGGTACCCATATGCCCTTTATGTAGCTTCAGCAGTTGTTAACCTTTAGTCACATTCATTTGCACTATCCCTGGGTATACTTTTTTGAACCATAAAAATAAGTTGCAGACATCATGACTTTTCACCCCTCAGTTGTTTAACGGCATCATTACACTTATAAAATAAATAATAATTCCATGATATCATCTAATACAGAATCCAGAGTTTGGATTTCTCTTATTGTTTCAAATATATCTTTTATAGTTTTTTTCCCTCCCTGATTCATGATTTGACCAATATTCTTACATTGTACTTAGTTGTTGTGTCTCTTAGTCTTTTTGGATTTATGTTTTTAGTTTCCTTTGTTTTATGACATGGAATTTTTTGAGTCTATGCTGGTTGTATTGAAGAATGCCCCATATGTTTGATTCATCAGATTATATCTTCATGAATAGATTCAGGTTAAACATTTTTGGCAAGAATCCCACAGATAAATGTTGTAGTACAACAGCTATAAATTTTAAATTTATGGACTTCATGGTTATATGTGTATGTATATGTCTTCTACTGGGGAAAAGGTTGTAGTTCTTACCAAATTTCCAAAGATTCCATAAGACCCCCAAAGGTTAAGAATTAGAGATGGAGTAAGTTGTTATTAGTGGGAGGTAAGTAGGTATTTAGTCTACACTTATATCTTAAATCATTAGATTTTATTTATTTTTAAACACGGCATTTTTACTGGTAGGTTTTTTAAAAAAGTAATTCATATACATGATAAAATTCAAGTAATACAAAAATATTAGAGTGCAAAATGTCTTCTGACTCCAGTTCTCCAGATTCCTTGTTGTTCTTGGCAAAAATAACCTGTATTTCCAGTTTCTTGAATGTACCTCCAGAAAAATCTGTGTATAGCTGGGTATATTTGTGGATATGTGTTCTTTTATTTATTTATTTTACACAAATAGGAGAATTTTACAGTGGAGATGTTCTATAGGTGAATTGACTTATATTATTGTAATGCATATATGTGACAAAACAAAAATAGTATAAAACAAAACAAACCAAAGCAGGAAAGAATCAATGCTGCTGATCCACATGACATTCTACTTGATGACTGAGCAGGAGACAGTCACACCAGCATGTTGCTCCTTTAGCTGGACTCACTCTTAGCATGCACAGCCCTGAGCCTGGGGTGAGGCTAGCTTTTTTTTTTTTTTTTTTAAAGTGTATTTTACTGTGGTAAAAACATTTTTTAATCTTTCTTTCTTTTTTTTTTTTTTTTTAGAGACAGGGTCTTGCTATATTGCCCACACTGGACTCAAACACCTGGGCTCAAGCTATACTCTTGCCTCAACCTCCTGAGTAGCAGGGACTACAGGCATATGCCATTGTGCCTGTAGGTCTCACATTTAATGTGAGATTTGCTCTCTTAACAGATTTTTGAGTATACAATACAATACAATATAGGCACAGTGTTGTACAGCAGATCTCTAGAATTCATTTGTCTTATATAACTGAAGGTTTATACCTATTGAGTAGCACCTCACAATTTCCCCTTTCTCCCAGCCCCCAGAAACCCTTCTGCTCTCTGTTTCCATGAGTTTGACTGGATACTTCATATAAGTGGAATTATACAGTATTTGGCCTTCTGTGTCTGGCTTAATTCACTTAGGATAATGTCCTCCTGGTTCATCCATGTTGTAGCAAATGGTTAGATTTCCTTCATTTTTAAGGCTGGATAGAGGCTAACTTTTAAAGACTGTATTTATCACAAACGTGGTCCCTGTGCGAGCCAGCTTCATCTGGTGTGCAAATGAAGAAATACAAGAGCCTTTTAGTGCCAAAGGAAACACTAGCTCTGTGCAACATTTACTGAGGGAGTGTTCGTAATGCTTCCAAACTGGCATTACCCTGGGGGATCTTTGAGGGACATTAGGATTATATTAAATTTTAGCCTTACACACTGACTCGAGAGCCCCTGGTAAGGTGCATTCCATGGCTCCTTGTTCAGCTCCATGCTTTTTGAAAGTTAACAAGATATCTTGGTTCTTCCACATCAGCACACAGAGATCTACTTTATTTTTTAAAATAACTAAATGGTATTCCATTGCATAAATGTACCAGGATTTGTTCAGAATCTGTCCTCCATTGATGGATATTTAGGGTTTTTTTTTAGACTTTTGCTGCTATAATTATAATGCTACAATGAATGATGTGTCTTTTTATAATACATTTTGGGGATTTTGTATGACCAAGTGACCACAGGAGAACAATTAGAATATTTTTGCTATATTTACTTAAAAATATAAAATTTATTTCCTTTTTTCGTTACTTTTGAATTGAAACTTTTGGTCCTGATTCCTATAATTTCAGCTTTTCAAAATTGAGTTTAAAAAATAATACTAATTAATTACCTTTAAAAAAATCCCACATATTAGCATAATGTCTAAATCCATTCAGTGGCATTAGGACTCCAAAAGACAATTTACCAAATATCTCTACTACTTACTATTTATTCAACAAATATTTCTTGAGTGCGTGCCTCTATGTGCCAGGGATTATATTAAGGATTTTAGTAGATTTTATATTTCCTAGTTTTATTAAAATTGTGCTTAATTTAAGATTAAAAGCTACTTGTTAGTTGTTCATTTATTCCATTTATAATTGCTCATTTATTCCGTTAAGTTAACGAGGTATTTGTATATCAGTGAGGTGGAGAGGAGGGGAAAGGTAATATATTTATATTAAAAAGTTCACTTAATGTATTTCCTAGATAGCAGTTATAAAAGGTAGGGTTTCTTTTTTTCTCCTTTCCCTCCTTCCCTCCCTCTCTTTGTTCCTTCTCTGTCTCTCCAATTTTAATAATTGGTATTATCAGTCCTTCCTCATTCATCTTCTTATTTTTCCCTAGATGCTTTTTCCTGGCTCTTATTGCTTTTTTAGATTTACGTAGGAACTTTAAAATCAACTTGTTTAATTTGAAAATCCTACTAATAATTTTGGGGATGTGATTCACAATAGAGTATTTATAAAATAGCTCTGAAAGAATCAACATCTTTTTTTTTTTTTTTTTTTTTGAGGTGGAGTCTTGCTCTGTCACCCAGGCTGGAGTGTAGTGACTCCATCTCGTTTCCTTGCAACTTCTGCTTCCCAGGTTCAAGCAATTCTTCTGCCTCAGCCTCCCGAGTAGTTGGGACTACAGGTATCCACCACCACTCCTGGCTAATTTTTGTGTTTTTAGTGGAGACTGGGTTTCACCATGTTGGCCAGGCTGTTCTTGAACTCCTGACCTTAAGTGATCTGCCCGCCTCGGCCTGCCAAAGTGCTGGGATTACAGGCATTAGCCACCGCACCGGGCCTAAGATGCCAAGTCTTTAAAATGAAAAACATAATTCAATTTGCTTCAGTCTTTAAAAAAATTACTGTTAAGTTTGTCTCTTGGAATTTTTTATCTTTTTGCCCTCTTTGTGAATAGAATGATTCCTTCTATTATGTCTTCTGGTTGTGGTTCAAATGTAAGAATAGTATTGATTTTTCCATATTATATTTCTTACCTGGGCCCCATGCTGGATTCTTTCACTATTTGTAATAGTTTTTCAGCTGATTCTCTTGAGTTCTCCAGCTAAGCAATCATTTTATCTGCACATATCTCTAAACAATATTAAATAATGGTGATGCTAAGTTGTATGATGAGGTTAACTTTTTTTTTCTTTAGACAGAGTTTCACTCTTGTTGCCCAGGCTGGAGTGCAATAGTGTGATCTTGGCTCACTGCAACCTCTGCCTCCTGGGTTCAAGCAGTTCTCCTGCATCAGCCCCTGAGTGGCTGGAATTACAGGCGCCCACTACCACAGCTGGCTAATTTTTTCTATTTTTAGTAGAGACAGGATTTCACCATGTTGGCCAGGCTGGTCCTGACCTCAGGTGATCCACCTGCCTTGGCCTCCCAAAGTGCTGGGATTACAGGCATGAGCCACCACACCTGGCTGGCTAGGTTAACTTCTTTATGTGCACATTCTCTAACAAAGTCTCCCTGGCTAATTGCTTGACCGAAAGCAGATATAAGCTGTTAAACATGAACACAACCAAACCTGTCACTACAACAAAACAGAACAAAACAAAACATGCAAGTAAAGAAAAACTGTTCTCCAAAGGCTTTGAGAAATATGGGATTATGTAAAGCAACCAAATCTGTAACTTATTAGCATTTCTGAGAAGAGAAGGTAAGCAACTTGGAAAACATATTCAAGGATATAATTGAGGAAAATTTCCCCAATCTTGCTAGAGAGATCAACATGCAGAGACAAGAAATCCATGGAACTCCTCCAAGATACTATATAAAATGACCATCCCCAAGGCACATAGTTATCAGACTACGCAGGGTCATGGAAAAGAAAAAAATCTTAAAGGCAGCTGGACAAAAGAGTCGTATTACCTGTAAAGAGAAATCCATCAGACTAACAGTGGACTTCTCAGCAGAAACTTTACAAACCAGAAGAGATTGCAGGCCCATTTTTAGCATTCTTAAAGAAAATAAATGCCAGCTAAGAATTTCATATCCCACCAAACTAAGCTTCATAAATCAAGGAGAAATAAAGTCTTTCCTTGATCTTCAATCGCTAAGGGAATTCATCACCACCAGACTGGCCCTACGAGAGATCCTTAAAGGAATTCTAAACAAGGAAACAAAAGAACAATACTTGCTGTCACAAAACCAGACACAAGCACATAACTCATAGATTCTATAAAGCAACTACACAATTGTGATTACAGAGCAACTAGTTAACACCAGTGTGACAGGAACAAAACCTCACCTATCAATATTAACCTTGAACATAAATGGCATAAATACTCTATTTAAAATATATAGAGTGGCAAATTGGATTAAAAAAAAAAAAGATGCACCTTTCTAGTGTTTTTAAGAGACCCATTTGACATATAATGATGCCCAGAGTCTCAAAGTAAAGGGATGGAGAAGGATCTATCACACAAATGGAAAGAAAAGAGGAGCTCTTCTTGTATCAGATAGAATAGACTTTAAACCAACAACAGTAAAGAAGGACAAAGAAGGGCATTACATAGTGATAAAGGCTTGAATTCAACAAGAAGACTTAAGTACTCTAAATAAATAGGCACCCAACATTGGAGCACCCAGATTTATAAAACAATTACTTCTAGACCTAAGAAAAGACTTTGACAGCCACATAATAGTAGTGGTGGACTTCAACACCCCACCGACAGCATTAGACACTCATTGGGGCAGAAAACTAACAAATTCTGGACTTAAATTCAACACTTGACCAATTGGACCTGATATATACATCTACAGAACACGCTACCCAACAACCACAGAATGCATTCTTCTAATCTGCAGATAGAACATACTCTAAGATTGACCACATGCTTGGTCATAAAGCAAGTCTCAATAAATTTTTTTAAAAACCTGAAAATCAAGCCAAGTATCTTCTTAGATCTCAGTGGAATAAAAATAGAAATCAATACCAAGAGGAACACTCAAAACTACACAAATACATGGAAATTAAATAACTTGCTCCTGAATGACTTCAATGAAGTTAAAGCAGAAATAAAAAAATTCTTTGAGACAATGAAAATAGACACAACATACCAAAACCTCTGGCATATGGCAAAAGCAGTGGTAAGAGGAAAGTTTACAACACTAAATGATTACATCAAGAAGATACAAAGATCTCAATTAACAACCTAAACTTGCATCTAAAGGAACTAGAAAAACAAGAGCAAACTAATCCCAAAGCTTAGCAGAAGAAAAGAAATAACTAAAACTAGAACAGAACTAAACAAAATTGAAACCCAAGAAAAAGTACAAAGGATCAATGAAATGAAAAATTGGTTTTTTGAAAGGTTAAACAAGATTGATAGACTGCTAACTAGACTCAAAAAAGAGAGAAGATCCAAATAAGCACAATTAGAAATGAGAAAGGTGACATCATCACTGATTCCATAGAAATACAAAAGATCCTTGGAGACACTATGAACATCTCTATGCACATAAACTAGAAAATCTAGAGGAAATGGAGAAATTCCTGGAAACACACAACCTCCCAAGATGGAAACAAGAAGAAATAGAAATCCTAAACAGACCATTAACGAGGAATGAAATTGAATAAATAATAAAATACCTACCATGCAAAAAAACCCCTGGACCAGATGGATTCACAGCTGAATTCTACCAGAAGTACAAAGAAGAGCTGGTTCCAATCCTTCTGAAGCTATTCCAAAAAATCAAGGAGTAGAGGCTTCCCCCTAACTTATTCTATAAACTCATTATCATCCTGATACCAAAATCTGGCAAAGACATAACAAAAAAGAAAAACTACAGGCCAATATCGTTGGTGAACATAGATGCAAAATCCACAATAAAATACTAGCAAACCAGATCCAGCAGCGTATCAAAAAGTGAATTCCCTGCAATCAAGTGGGCTTTATTCTGGGGAATGTAAGGATGGTTCAACATATGCAGAATTAAAAACATGTAAACAATTAAAAACCAAAATCATATGATCATCTTAATAGATGCAGAAAAAGCGTTTGATAAAATACAACATCTCCTTTTTTTAAAATTTTTTATTTTTTTATTATTTTTTTATGTTCTTTTTTTATTATTATACTTTAAGTTTTAAGGTACATGTGCACAATGTGCACGTTAGTTACCATATGTATACATATGCCATGGTGGTGTGCTGCACCCATTAACTCGTCATTTAGCATTAGGTATATCTCCTAAAGCTATCCCTCCCCACTCCCCCCACCCCACAACAGTCCCCAGAGTGTGATGTTCCCCTTCCTGTGTCCATGTGTTCTCATTGTTCAATTCCCACCTATGAGTGAGAATATGCAGTGTTTGGTTTTTTGTTCTTGTGATAGTTTACTGAGAATGATGATTTCCAATTTCATCTGTATCCCTACAAAGGACATGAACTCATCATTTTTTTTTAATTTTTTTTAATTATTTTATTTTTTTATTTTTTATTTTTATTATTATTATTATTTTTATTATACTTTAAGTTTTAGGGTACATGTGCACATTGTGCAGGTTAGTTACATATGTATACATGTGCCATGCTGGTGCACTGCACCCACTAACTTGTCATCTAGCCTTAGGTATATCTCCCAATGCTATCCCTCCCCGCTCCCCCCACCCCACCACAGTCCCCAGAGTGTGATATTCCCCTTCATGTGTCCATGTGTCTCATTGTTCAATTCCCACCTATGAGTGAGAATATGCGGTGTTTGGTTTTTTGTTCTTGTGATAGTTTACTGAGAATGATGATTTCCAATTTCATCCATGTCCCTACAAAGGACATGAACTCATCATTTTTTATGGCTGCATAGTATTCCATTGTGTATATGTGCCACATTTTCTTAATCCAGTCTATCATTGTTGGACATTTGGGTTGGTTCCAAGTCTTTGCTATTGTGAATAATGCCGCAATAAACATACATGTGCATGTGTCTTTATAGCAGCATGATTTATAGTCATTTGGGTATATACCCAGTAGTGGGATGGCTGGGTCAAATGGTATTTCTAGTTCTAGATCCCTGAGGAATCACCACACTGACTTCCACAATGGTTGAACTAGTTTATAGTCCCACCAACAGTGTAAAAGTGTTCCTATTTCTCCACATCCTCTCCAGCACCTGTTGTTTCCTGACTTTTTAATGATTGCCATTGTAACTGGTGTGAGATGGTATCTCATTGTGGTTTTCATTTGCATTTCTCTGATGCACAGTGATGGTGAGCATTTTTTCATGTGTTTTTTGGCTGCATAAATGTCTTCTTTTGAGAAGTGTCTGTTCATGTCCTTCGCCCACTTTTTGATGGGGTTGTTTGTTTTTTTCTTGTAAATTTGTTTGAGTTCATTGTAGATTCTGGATATTAGCCCTTTGTCAGATGAGTAGGTTGCGAAAATTTTCTCCCATTTTATAGGTTGCCTGTTCACTCTGATGATGGTTTCTTTTGCTGTGCAGAAGCTCTTTAGTTGAATTAGATCCCATTTGTCAATTTTGGCTTTTGTTGCCATTGGTTTTGGTGTTTTAGACATGAAGTCCTTGCCCATGCCTATGTCCTGAATGGTAATGCCTAGGTTTTCTTCTAGGGTTTTTATGGTTTTAGGTCTAACGTTTAAGTCTTTAATCCATCTTGAATTAATTTTTGTATAAGGTGTAAGGAAGGGATCCAGTTTCAGCTTTCTACATATGGCTAGCCAGTTTTCCCAGCACCATTTATTAAATAGGGAATCCTTTCCCCATTGCTTGTTTTTCTCAGGTTTGTCAAAGATCAGGTAGTTGTAGATATGTGGCATTATTTCTGAGGGTTCTGTTCTGTTCCGTTGATCTATATCTCTGTTTTGGTACCAGTACCATGCTGTTTTGGTTACTGTAGTCTTGTAGTATAGTTTGAAGTCAGGTAGCGTGATGCCTCCAGCTTTGTTCTTTTGGCTTAGGATTGACTTGACGATGCGGGCTCTTTTTTGGTTCCATATGAACTTTAGTTTTTTCCAATTCTGTGAAGAAAGTCATTGGTAGCTTGATGGGGATAGCAATGAATCTATAAATTACCTTGGGCAGTATGGCCATTTTCATGATATTGATTCTTCCTACCCATGAGCATGGAATGTTCTTCCATTTGTTTGTATCCTCTTTTATTTCATTGAGCAGTGGTTTGTGGTTCTCCTTGAAGAGGTCCTTCATGTCCCTTGTAAGTTGGACTCCTAGGTATTTTATTCTCTTTGAAGCAATTGTGAATGGGAGTGCACTCATGATTTGGCTCTCTGTTTGTCTGTTATTGGTGTATAAGAATGCTTGTGATTTTTGTACATTGGTTTTGTATCCTGAGACCTTGCTGATGTTGCTTATCAGCTTAAGGAGATTTTGGGCTGAGACAATGGGGTTTTCTAGATATACAATCATGTCATCTGCAAACAGGGACAATTTGACTTCCTCTTTTCCTAACTGAATACCCTTTATTTCCTTCTCCTGCCTGATTGCCCTGGCCAGAACTTCCAACACTATGTTGAATAGGAGTGGTGAGAGAGGGCATCCCTGTCTTGTGCCAGTTTTCAAAGGGAATGCTTCCAGTTTTTGCCCATTCAGTATGATATTGGCTGTGGGTTTGTCATAGACAGCTCTTATTATTTTGAGATACGTCCCATCAATACCTAATTTATTGAGAGTTTTTAGCATGAAGCGTTGTTGAATTTTGTCAAAGGCCTTTTCTGCATTTATTGAGATAATCATGTGGTTTTTGACTTTGGTTCTGTTTATATGCTGGATTAGATTTATTGATTTGCATATATTGAACCAGGCTTGCATCCCAGGGATGAAGCCCACTTGATCATGGTGGATAAGCTTTTCGATGTGCTGCTGGATTCGGTTTGCCAGTTTTTTACTGACGACTTTTGCATCAATGTTCATCAAGGATATTGGTCTAAAATTCTCTTTTTTGGTTGTGTCTCTGCCTGGCTTTGGTATCAGGATGATGCTGGCCTCATAAAATGAGTGAGGGAGGATTCCCTCTTTTTCTATTGATTGGAATGGTTTCAGAAGGAATGGTACCAATTCCTCCTTGTACATCTGGTAGAATTCGGCTGTGAATCCATCTGGTCCTGGACTCTTTTTGGTTGGTAAGCTATTGATTATTGCAACAATTTCAGAGCCTGTTATTGGTCTATTCAGAGATTCAACTTCTTCCTGGTTTAGTCTTGGCAGGGTGTGTGTGTTGAGGAATTTATCCATTTCTTCTAGATATTCTAGTTTATTTGCGTAGAGGTGTTTGTAGTATTTTCTGATGGTAGTTTGTAGTTCTGTGGGATCAGTGGTGATATCCCCTTTATCATGTTTTATTGCGTCTATTTGATTCTTCTCTCTTTTCTTCTTTATTAGTCTTGCTAGCGGTCTATCAGTTTTGTTGGTCCTTTCAAAAAATCGGCTCCTGGATTCATTAATTTTTTGAAGGGTTTTTTGTGTCTCTATTTCCTTCAGTTCTGCTCTGATTTTAGTTGTTTCTTGCCTTCTGCTAGCTTTTGAATGTGTTTACTCTTGCTTTTCTAGTTGTTTTAATTGTGATGTTAGGGCGTCAATTTTGGATCTTTCCTGCTTTCTCTTGTGGGCATTTAGTGCTATAAATTTCCCTCTACACACTGCTTTGAATGTGTCCCAGAGATTCTGGTATGTTGTGTCTTTGTTCTCATTGGTTTCAAAGAACATCTTTATTTCTGCCTTCATTTCATTATGTACCCAGTAGTCATTCAGGAGCAGGTTGTTCAGTTTCCATGTAGTTGAGTGGTTTTGAGTGAGTTTCTTAATCCTGAGTTCTAGTTTGATTGCACTGTGGTCTGAGAGACAGTTTGTTATAATTTCTGATCTTTTACATTTGCTGAGGAGTGCTTTACTTCCAACTATGTGTTCAATTTTGGAATAGGTGTGGTGCTGAAAAAAATGTATATTCTGTTGATTTGGGGTGGAGAGTTCTGTAGATGTCTATTAGGTCTGCTTGGTGCAGAGCTGAGTTCAATTCCTGTGTATCCTTGTTAACTTTCTGTCTCGTTGATCTGTCTAATGTTGACAGTGTGGTGTTAAAGTCGCCCACTATTAATGTGTGGGAGTCTAAGTCTCTTTGTAGGTCACTCAGGACTTGCTTTATGAATCTGGGTGCTCCTGTATTGGGTGCATATGCATTTAGGATAGTTAGCTTTTCTTGTTGAATTGATCCCTTTACCATTATGTAATGGCCTTCTTTGTTTCTTTTGATGTTTGTTGGTTTAAAGTCTGTTTTATCAGAGGCTAATATTGCAACCCCTGCCTTTTTTTGTTTTCCATTTGCTTGGTAGATCTTCCTCCATCCTTTTATTTTGAGCCTATGTGTGTCTCTGCACGTGAGATGGGTTTCCTGAATACAGCACACTGATGGGTCTTGACTCTATCCAATTTGCCAGTCTGTGTCTTTCAATTGGGGCATTTAGCCCATTTACATTTAAAGCTAATATTGTTATGTGTGAATTTGATCCTGTCATTATGATGTTAGCTGCTTATTTTGCTCGTTAGTTGATGCAGTTTCTTCCTAGCCTCGATGGTCTTTACAATTTGGCATGATTTTGCAGTGGCTGGTACCGGTTGTTCCTTTCCATGTTTAGTGCTTCCTTCAGGAGCTCTTTTAGGGCAGGCCTGGTTGACAAAATCTCTCAGCATTTGCTTGTCTGTAAAGTATTTTATTTCTCCTTCACTTATGAAGCTTAGTTTGGTTGGATATGAAATTCTGGGTTGAAAATTCTTTTCTTTAAGAATGTTGAATATTGGCCCCCACTCTCTTCTGGCTTGTAGAGTTTCTGCCGAGAGATCCGCTGTTAGTCTGATGGGCTTCCCTTTGTGGGTAACCCGAGCTTTCTCTCTGGCTGCCCTTAACATTTTTTCCTTCATTTCAACTTTGGTGAATCTGACAATTATGTGTCTTGGAGTTGCTCTTCTCGAGGAGTATCTTTGTGGCGTTCTCTGTATTTCCTGAATCTGAATGTTGGCCTGCCTTGCTAGATTGGGGAAGTTCTCATGGATATTATCCTGCAGAGTGTTTTCCAACTTGGTTCCATTCTCCCCATCACTTTCAGGTACACCAATCAGACGTAGATTTGGTCTTTTCACATAGTCCCATATTTCTTGGAGGCTTTGTTCATTTCTTTTTATTCTTTTTTCTCTAAACTTCTCTTCTCACTTCATTTCATTCATTTCATCTTCCATCACTGATACCCTTTCTTCCAGTTGATCGCATCGGCTCCTGAGGCCTCTGCATTCTTCCCGTTGTTCTTGAGCCTTGGCTTTCAGCTCCATTAGCTCCTTTAAGCACTTCTCTGTATTGGATATTCTAGTTATACATTCATCTAAATTTTTTTCAAAGTTTTCAACTGCTTTGCCTTTGGTTTGAATTTCCTCCTGAAGCTCTGAGTAGTTTGATCGTCTGAAGCCTTCTTCTCTCAACTCGTCAAAGTCATTCTCCGTCCAGCTTTGTTCCATTGCTGGTGAGGAGCTGGGTTCCTTTGGAGGAGGAGTGGCACTCTGCTTTTTAGAGTTTCCAGTTTTTCTGCTCTGCTTTTTCCCCATCTTTGTGGTTTGATCTACTTCTGGTTTTTGATGATGGTGACTTACAGATGGGTTTTTGGTGTGGATGTCCTTTCTGTTTGTTAGTTTTCCTTCTAACAGACAGGACCCTCAGCTGCAGGTCTATTGGAGTTTGCTAGAAGTCCACTCCAGACCCTGTTTGCCTGGGTACCAGCAGCGGTGGATGCAGAACAGTGGATTTTCATGAACCGCGAATGCTGCTGTCTGATCGTTCCTCTGGAAGTTTTGTCTCAGAGGAGTACCTGGCTGTGTGAGGTGTCAGTCTGCCCCTACTGGGGGGTGCCTCTCAGTTAGGGTGCTCGGGGGTCAGGGGTCAGGGACCCACTTGAGGAGGCAGTCTGCCCGTTCTCAGATCTCCAGCTGCGTGCTGGGAGAACCACTGCTCTCTTCAAAGCTGTCAGGCAGGGACGTTTAAGTCTTCAGAGGTTACTGCTGTCTTTTTGTCTGTCTGTGCTCTGCCCCCAGAGGTGGAGCCTACAGAGGCAGGCAGGCCTCCTTGAGCTGTGGTGGGCTCTACCCAGTTCACGCTTCCTGGCTGCTTTGTTTACCTAAGTGAGCCTGGGCAATGGCAGGTGCCCCTCCCTGAGCCTCGCTGCCACCTTGCAGTTTGATCTCAGACTGCTGTGCTAGCAATCAGCGAGACTCCGTGGGTGTAGGACCCTCCGAGCCATGTGCGGGATATAATCTCCTGGTGTGCCATTTTTTAAGCCGGTCAGAAAAGCGCAGTTATTAGGGTGGGAGTGACCCGATTTTCCAGGTGCCATCTGTCACCCCTTTCTTTGACTAGGAAAGGGAACTCCCTGACCCCTTGTGCTTCCTGAGTGAGGCAATGCCTCGCCCTGCTTTGGCTCGCACATGATGCGCTGCACCCACTGTCCTGTGCCCACTGTCTGGCACTCCCTAGTGAGATAAACCTGGTACCTCAGGTGGAAATGCAGAAATCACCTGTCTTTTGTGTGGCTCACGCTAGGAGCCATAGACCGGAGCTGTTCCTATTTGGCCATCTTGGCTCCCGGGCACATCTCTTTATGATAAAAGCCCTCAACAATCTAGGCATTGAAGGAACATACCTCAAAATAATGAGCCATCTATGACAGACTCACAGCCAACATCTTACTCAATGGGAAGATGGAAGCATTGCCCCTTAAGAACTGGAATAAAACAAGGATGTACACTCTAACTACTCCTATTCAACATAGTACTGGAAGCCCTAGCCAGAGTAATCAGACAAGACAAAGAAATAAAAGGTACCCAAATAGGAAAAAATAAGTCAAATTATCTTTCTTTGCTGACAATAAGATTCTATACCTAGAAAATCCTAAAGATTCTCCCCAAAGACTCCTAGATCTGATAAACAACCTCAGCAGTCTCAGGATACAAAATCAATGTACACATATCAGTAGCATTTCCATACCCAATGACATTCAGCTCAGAAGCAAATTAAAAATGCAATATCATTTATGGT
Source organism: Homo sapiens (assembly GCF_000001405.40). Taxonomy (NCBI): domain Eukaryota; kingdom Metazoa; phylum Chordata; class Mammalia; order Primates; family Hominidae; genus Homo; species Homo sapiens. The sequence goes on from NC_000012.12 coordinate 46,427,531, forward strand.
AGCCACACACACAAAAAATAAAATATCCGGCAATATATCTAACCAAGGAGGTTAAAGATCTGTACAAGGAGAACTGCAAAACACTACTGAAAGAAATCGCAGATGACACAAACAAACGGAAAAACATTCTATGCTTATGGATTGGAGGAATCAGTATCGTTGGAATGTTTATACTGCCCAAACACATCTACAAATTCGATGCTATTCCTATCAAATTGTGAGTCACTGTTCACAGAATTAGAAATAACTGTTCCAAAATTCATATGGAACCAAAAAAGAGCCCAAATAATCAAGACAATTCTAAGCAAAAAGAATAAAGCTGGAGGAATCACATTACTTGACTTCAAGCTATACTACAAGGATGCAGTAACCTAAACAGCATGGTACTGGTACAAAAATGGACACATAGACCAATGAATAGAATAGAGAACCCAGAAATAAAGCTGCACACCTACAACTAACTAATATTTGACAAAGTCAACAATAACAATGTGGAAAGGACACTCTATTCAATAAATGGCTAGCTATACACGGAAGAATGAAACTGGACCCGTACCTCTCACCATATACAAAAATTAACCAAGATGAATTGAAGTCTTAAATGTAAGACCTCAAATTATAAAAATCCTAGAAGAAAAACTAGAAAATACTTTTCTAGACATTGATTAAGGCAAAGAATTTATGACTAAGTCCTTGAAAGCTAACATGACAAAAACAAAAATGGACAATTAGGTCCTGATTAAACTAAAGAGCTTTTGCACAGCAAAAGAAACTATCAACAGAATAAACAGACAACACACAGAATGGGAGTAAATGTTTGCAAACTATGTGTCTGACAAAGGACTAATATCCACAATCTATAAGTAATTTAAACAAATCAACAAGAAAAAACAAATAGCCCCATTAAAAAGTAGGCAGAGGACTTGAACTGACACTCCTCAAAAGACATACAAGTGGCCAACAAATAAAAAAATGTTCAGCACCACTAATCATAAGAGAGACACAGGCCAGGTGCAGTGGCCCACGCCTGTAATCCCAGCACTTTGGGAGGCCGAGGCAGATCACCTGAGGTCAGGAGTTTGAGACCAGCCTGGCCAACATGGCAAAACCCCATCTCTACTAAAAGTACAAAAATTAACCGAGTGTGGTGTGGTGGTGCATGCCTGTAGTCCAAGCTCCTCGGGAGGCTAAAGCAGGAGAATTGCTTGAACCTGGGAGTTGGAGATTGCAGTGAGCTGAGATCGTGCCATTGCACTCCAGCCTGGGTTACAGATGGAGCGAGACTCTGTCTCAAAAAAAAAAAAGAGACACACACACAAATGTAAACCATAATGAGATACTATCTCACACCAATCAGAGTGGCTATTATCAGAATTTCAGAAAACAACAGATACTGGCAAGAATGAAGATAAAAGAGAATGCTTATACACTGCTGGTGGGAATGCAAATGAATTCACCGCCTGTGGAAAGCAGTTCGAAGATTTCTCAAAGAACTAATAATAGAACTACCATTCAACCCAGCAATCCCATTACTGGGTATATACCCAAAGGAAAATAAATCGTTCCACCAAAAAGACACCTGCACTGCTATGCTTACCATGGCACTATTCACAATAGCAAAGACATGGAATCAACCTAGGTGCCCACCAGCGGTAGACTGGACTAAAAAAATGTGGTGAATATCCACCAGGTTCACAATGCAGCCACAGAGAAGAATGTATTCATGCCCTTTGCAGTAACGTAGATGCATCTGGAGGCCATTATCCTAAGTAAATTAATGCAGAAACAAAACCAAATACCACATGTTCTTACTTTTAAGTGGGAGCTAAACATTGGGTACACTTGGACACAAAGATGGGAAAAATAGACACTGGGGATTCCAAAAGGAGGGAGAGACAGAGGGAGCAAGGGTACTATGTTCACTACTTGGTTTATGGGATCATTAGAAGCTCAAACTTTAGCATCAGGTATTATACCCATGTAATAAACCTGCACATATACCTCTTGAATTTAAAATTAAAAGCAAATAAATAAATGAAAGAATTGGGCATAACCCTCAAAAAAATTCCAGAATGTGGGGCACTACTCTGGTCTCTTCAGGTCAGTGGGATGGGAAAAAGAGCAGGTGATGGGGCACAGGGGGAGCTATATTAAGATAAACTAAACTTGAGAGATGTAAACATGAAAACAATGTGTAATTCCGTATTGGATCCTGTTGGGAGAACAAGTTTGAGGGACAATTGGGATTCTGAATAAGGACTAGATATTAGAATTATTATTATAGGAATCCCTAAATTTTTAGGAGTGATAATGGTATTGTGGCTATGTTAAGAAAACTCCCTAATTTTTAAAAGATGCATGCCAAGAGGTTTACGAGGGAGGCATGCTATTATCTATAATTTACTTTGAAATGGTTCAGTAAACAAATGAAAAATAGAAGGATGAATGGATGGTTTGATGAATAAATGGAATAAATGTGGCAAAATATTAAAAAACTGTTCTCATATGCAATTGCTTATGAATCAGACTTAGTTTAGTAAAAACCAAACAGCAAGATAAAATAAATTGGATACTGAGGTTATTTTTAGATTTGTTATTACTGTCATGAATAATCTTCAATTTCAAATTTATGTTCCTTAAAACTTATTGTTACCATTGATTAATCTTATAATATATGTTACAAAGTTGAACTGATAAAATATTCTAATAAAATATTTATTTTGCTGTCTTTTATGTTGTAGATCCACATAAGGTATTCTTTGAAAACCCAGTTTAGTTCACAAGAAAAATGGAAAACAGATTTAGTCTTCTTGCCTTTTACGTTGCAGACATAGAACTTGTCATTGTAAATGCAGTGTCAGTAGGTCAATGACCCAAAAGTCCCCGTTCTTTGTGCTGAAAAATATCTGCAGAGAGGGAATGTTAGATTTCTGTAAGTGAAATTCTGAACAATACTAATTGTTTGCTTACCTGCAATGTATGGGTTGTTAAGATAAAACAGGGTGGGAACCTGATCTACCCAGGCATATCTTTCATGTGAATGTGAAGGAAATGATTCATTGACAACCCCAAAGACCTTGCTGGGAAAACACAGCTCAGTATTGCATCATCAAGCATTTGAAAACAAAGTGTCAGGAAACAGTTTAGAAATCAGTCTCTATCACTTTCTCTTATTAACTAGTTGTTTGTATTAATAAGAGTAACCACCACTTGTGTTTTGTTTTGTAGTTTATTAAGTGTATTTGTGATAACTTTTGGAAGTAGTAAGGTAGGTCTCATTACTCATTTTTCAGGTGAGGAAAATGAGGCTCCCAGATTTTCAGTGACTTGTTCAGGATTACACAGGCTGAAAGTGGAAGATCCATGTATTACTACATCTGGGTCTACCTAGGAAATGGGAGGGCATCAATTGTGTAATATAATCTCATAGAAACTCGGTTTTCTGAGCTCTAAGGAGGGCATAATGCTTATTTTACAGTATTGTTATAAAAATAACATGAAATTATATAAAGAAGACATCTAGGTCAGTATTTTCATATACATGGAGTTCGGTACATATTTAGTCCTTTTTTTTTTTTTTTTTTTTAGATGGGGCCTTGCTCTGTTGCCCAGGCTGGAGGGCAATGGCACAATCTCAGCTCACTGCAACCTCCACGTCCCAGGTTCAAGTGATTTTCCTGCCTCAGTCTCCTGAGTAGCTGGGATTACAGGCGCCCACCACCACGCCCAGCTAATTTTTGTATTTTTGGTAGAGATGGGGTTTTCCATGTTGGCCAGGCTGGTCTTGAACTCCTGACCTCAGGTAATCCGCCTGCCTTGGCCTCCCAAAGTGCTGGGATTACAGGCGTGAGCCACTGCGCCCGGCCCTTTTTTTTTTTTTTTTTTTTTTTTGAGACAGGGTCTTACTCTGTTGCTGAGGCTGGAGTGCAGTGGTGTGATCTCGGCTCACAACAGCCTTGACCTCCTGAGCGTAAGTGATGCTCCCACTTCAGCCTCCCAAGCAGCTGGCACTACAGGCACATGCCACCACACCCAGCTAAATGAGGCACCTGGCCTCATTTACTTTTTAGTGCCATGTTTATAGTCCTGTAGCTGTAATCTTAATCTGTACCTTAAATTTTCCACTGTCTAATTCCTTATATACCATCTTAGTAAGTTACAGTATTGCTATATTGAATCTTCAGTATAGTACTTTTCCAGGAGACTAACTGACAGCAAGCTTCTCTTGCTATTTTAGTTACTAATTCCTTCCCCCACTTTTGGGCAAAAGGCCAAGAGTATTTTGAGGAGATTAAGATGAACCTACAATTTATTGAATCATACCATTAAATAGAGTCAGAGTGAAGTTATAATACATTTGCAAAGTGACATATCTAAAGGGGCAGTAAGCAGCAGACGTAAGCAAAGTCATAGAAATCCATTTATCTGCCAACACATTTATGTAAGAAATTACACTACTGGTCAGGAATTTCCTGCTGTATGTCATTTTTTTTTTTTCTTATGGAACTTTTCAATAGCTTGTAATGGGCTGTTGTGCCTCCTCTTCAGGCTTGGCTGTTATCAGTGCCACTCAGATATCCCTTCCTATTCAGTGTGGAGTGCTTTGTGACACTTATGAATGGGTGCACCTATTTTTTAACTATTAGAATGTTGATTTATATCACAGAAGACTCATCATTTCTGCTTCCCTACACATAGGCCTGTTGTAAGAATTTACTGGTTTCAAACATGTATTAATTATATGAACTTGCAGGAAAAGAATGCCATAAAATTGAAAGCTACATGTGAGTTTTATAAGAGATAATTTTCTACCAAAATAATATGCAAAGGTAATAATTGGGGAAAATTTCTAGGCAGATGGGGAAAGAAATTCAAGTGTTTCTAATTATGTAGATAATGCTGAGTGAAAGGAAGAGCACTGTAGAAGGAATACTTGATGTGTAGCAGAAAACCAGAGTTTGAGTCTAGGCTCTGCCGTCTGCTAGATGAGCGTGGGCAAGACACCTAGGGCTGCAGTCTCATATACTTCAGCTGTAGAAATGGCCACTGAATCATATTTCTTAACCTCTGTTTTATTTTATTAGGAAAAATGTAACACCCCAGGAAATTTTAGTTTGCAGACGTGGTGTAAAACTTTACTTATGCAGCCTTATTTCAGTACGCTTGCGTATACAATCGAAGTATTTAGCACTTCAATGTTTGCAGAGATAATTGGCAAATAGAAAGTAATATAAAATAAATAAGTAGATTTAATGTTTTCTAATTTTCAATGGAGAAATATGGTTATATATATTTTTAAATTAGATTCAGCAGTAGGAGATTCAATGAATTACTTAGCCTCCTAAACATAAATCAGCTTCATCCTTCTCCTTTTTTTTTTTCAATTTTATATCAACAAACTGCCAGGAATGAGAGAAAAATTAATATTTCCTGAGAATGACTTTTGCATCAGTTGCATGCAACTGTTGTAAATTGTATCCTATCAGATATTTTGATTCACCTGAATTAAAACTTCTGATATATTATACCGGCCTAAAGATTAAAAAAAATTTTCTGACTTTCTTTCAGACCTTAAAAATGGATTTAATTTCCAGAAATGCAAGTGTGGGTAAATACAGAGATTATAATGAAATGCTTCATTGTGCTAATGGATAAAAGGGGAAAATCAACTAGAAGTATGTGCTTTTGGGAAGGAAAGGACAAAATTATTACTCTCAGTAGGTGATACAATTGTCTATTTAGTAAAACTACAAAATCAATTGTAATACTTTTTGAAACAATAAAAAATTTAGTAAAAAGACAAGTTAAAAGTTAAAATATATGAAACTCAATAGCTTTCTTATATACCAAACATTACCAATAATAAAATATAAAGGAAAAAGAAATTTATTCTCACTAGAACATACACTGCATGAGGACAGAAACCATTTTTTTTTCACAGCTGCATCCCCAGCTCCTATAACAGGGTCTGACACATAGTAGACACCATAAACATTTGTTGTGTAAATGAATTCGTGGTAACAAAATATCACAAAATTATTAAGAATATTCTTAATATGAAATTCATAGGATCTTTAATCCTATATTTCATGGAAAACTGGTATGTGAATTGAGTTGGTGAATTCTCAGAAAGAAGGATAGTGGTTATATGTAGAATGTTTTTCTCCACCAGACATGGATTCATTCAATAAATATGTTTGGGGATCTACTCTGTGCTTGGCGGTGTTCTAGCCACTGTTCTAGGCACCAATAGACAAAAATAGACAAAAATCTCTGTTGTCATGGAACTTATCATCTCATTTGGAGATATAAACAATATGCAAATGAATAAGTAAAATAGATAGGATGTCAGATGGTGCAAAATGTTAAGGAGAAGAATAAAGCAAAGAAGGGGCTGTAGAGTTCCAGGGTTTGGACAGGGGATGGAAGTAGACGGAAGTGGCAGCTGTGAATAGGGTGCTCAGGCAAGATCTCACAGACAAGGTGGTATTTGAGTAAAGACCTGGAGAAGGTGAGTCATGTGGCTATCGATATTAAAAGCTACAGTAATTAAAACAGTGTGGTCGTAACTTCAAAGAGACACAGAAAAATAGAACAAAATATTGAGTTCAGAAATTGGCTCAAATATATGTGAAGATTTAGCATGTGATAAAGTGGCCAAGAAAATGGACTGTTTTTAAAGAGTGCTGGAACAACTTGCTAGCCATTTTGGGGGAAAAAGGTAAGTTGGGATCTCACCTTATCCAGACAAAAATTACAAATGGATAAAAAGTTTTCATGTTAAACCACACACATTAAACAGCTGAAGAATGTTTAAGTATATATTTTTATACAGCCTTTGACTAGAGAAGGCCTCTTAAAGCATAATAAAGCCAGAAAATGAACAGAATGGTCCACAGATTAGACCATATAAAAGTTTGAGGTGGCAAAAATAAAACAAAATAAATAAAAAATTAAAATCACCACCAATAAAAGTTAAAAAAATACATATTACAGAAATACTATATTTCCTTATTCTAGTCCCCACTCTCTTTCAAAAAATGAACAGAATGGTCCACAGATTTGACAATATAAAAGTTTGAGGTGGCAAAAATAAAACAAAATAAAAAATTAAAATCACCACCCATAAAAGTTAAATTAAAAAAATACATATCACAGAAATACTGTATTTCCTTATTCTAGTCCCTGCCCTCCTTCTGAAGTTAGTGTATACATTTAATGTGGTGATGTCTCTTTCTCCTTGCTCTTAGGAACTATTAAATTGATAGTATATATTCTAATAAACTGCCTGTTAGAGAGCAGACTAAGGTATATAGAAAGCTTTAAAAAGCAACATATTTTTGCATACTCAATAGCAAAAGTAAAAAGCCTATGAACACAGTTCACAAGGAAAGAAATGCAAATAACTAAAAAAAGGGAAGAGATGTTAAACCTTTTGGGTAAAAAGGAAAGGTCAGCTGAAATTGCATTGATATGCAATGTTTTACCCATTGGATTGGTAAGCCCTAAGAGGATTGTTATGGGAGGCAATGGGAATATACAACATTCTCATTTACTGCTAATGGGAGTGTGAATTTGTACAGCCTTTCATTAAAACTGAATATGTTTATGCCTTTTAAATTTCCTTGGATTTTTTTCCCTAAAAGGATATAATTGCACAAGTGTTCAAAGATAAGAATGTATGTACAAAAATGTTTATCTCAGCATTGTTTGCAATAGTAAATAACTGGAAATGATCTTGATGTCCATTAATAGAGAAATGGTTAAATAAGCTACAGTAGAATGCTATGCAATGTGGAATGCTATGGAATGCTATGCAGTTATTATTTATTTATATGGGAAGATGCCCACAATAAATTGTTTATCAAAAGGCAGATTACTACAGCCATTTTGGAAGACAGTTTGACACTTTCTTACAAAACTAAGCATCCTCTTATCATATGATCCAGCAATTGTACTCCTAGGTATTTACTCAAACTTAACTTCACACAAAAACCTGTACATAAATGTTTGCAGTAGCTTTATTCATAGTTGTCAAAAATTGGAAGCAACCAAGATGTCCTCAAGTAAATGAGGATAAAACAAACTGAAGTATATCCAGATAATGGAACATTATTCAGTTATAAAAATAAATGAGCTATTAAGCCATGAAAAAACACTGAAGAATCCTACATGCATATTGCTAGGTGAAAAAATAGCATTTGGCATTCTAAAAGGCTACATACTCTATAACTACAAGTATATGACATTCTGGGAGGGGCAAAACCATGGAGACAGTAAAAAGATCTGTGATTGGCAGGGATTGGAGGGAAGTCAGGGAGGGATAGATAAGTGGAGTGCAGAGAATTTTTAGGGCAATGAAACTATTCTGCATGTTGCTGTAATGGTGGATACCTGACATCATACATTTGGCAAAACCCATAGAGGAATGAATCTTAATATACATTTTAGGTAGTAATGTATCAATATTAGTTTATCAATTGTAGTAAATGTACCACACCAAAGCAAGTTGTTAATAATAGGGGAAATTGGTGGTGAACAGAATGGGAATATATAGGAACTCTCTACACCTTCTGGTTAATGTTTCTGTAGTCCTAAAACTGATCTAAGAAATAAAGTCTGTTAGTTAAAAAAAATGCATGTATGATCCTCTTTTTATAGTTTGTGTGTGTGTGTGTGTGTGTGTGTGTGTGTAGGGGGATGTGTAGAAATAAGTTTGGAAGGATAGCATCAAAATGTTAAGAGTGGTATCTTCCAGTGGTGAGACTGTGAGAGATTTTCACTTTTTAATTTATGTCTTTTTATACTGTCTACAATGTTTTATATTCTTATGATCAGAAATAATACAATTTCATTTCAAAAGCAAAAACATAAGACAACAGCACCAACTAAAAAAGAGAAAACTAACAAGAATAAAGTAAAATGAAAAAATAACCCGTAATTCTACCATCTAAAGATAACTACTATTAACATTTTGGTATATATTTCAGGTTATTTACAATAAATTATGTAATATGTGAAATATATAGATAGATAGATACACACATTAAATACAATTTTACAACACAATCATAGTTTATATATGTTCCACAGTGAGCACATCTATAGGGACCTATCCCAAAGGCTTAAAAGTTATCCAACTGAAAGTTGACTTATACATTTTTCATTTACAAAATACAAGGCTCCTAAGTTGTCTAACTTATCCTGTGATGACTAGTGGCTGCCAGGATTATGCAAATATTTTCAGAAAAACAAATATGCTTAATACGTCTCTTCAAGGTAAAAATGACATTTTAATAGTGAATGAGAAAGCAACTGCTTTTCTAACTTAATTTGCTGTTTTGAAAATGGATGTGGTAGCAGCCTCTGAGGTTGCTGCCACTGATCCCCTCTTCCTGGCATCCATGTCCTTGTCTAATCCCCTCCCCTTGAATATGGGCTGGACCTGTGACTCTAACAAACGTTTGAATGTGACACAGGACTTCAGTTCGTTTCAGCATTTCAAACAAAACAACTTCATATTCACATAATATTTCATAAAATTCTTTCCTATGCATAGTTCCATTCAAGCATCCCAACCTCTTGAAATAAAGAAGAGATATAATATTTGTTTCTGTTTTAAGTGAGAAAATTAAGGGCTCAGAGAGATATTAAATGATTTGTTCAAGGCCTGTCTGACCAGACGGCTTGTACCACAATTCAAATCCTGCTCTGCTGACTTTAATTCTCAGTCTCCTTCATTCTAAAGGACGATTCTACTCTTCAGTCTTTAGACTTTCCAGAGTGGAGTAAAAAAGTGGCTGGCTAGGCTTTTGTGGTCTCAGATTCTGGTACCTGTGTCACTATAGCACAATATTCTAGTCTATATAGAGTGATTCCTCAATTGATGTTTGTTGATAATATGGAAATTTCATTCATAGCAAATTGTGGTGGTGTTAAATACTGTCATTACTTTACTTATCCACGTAACTCTATGTGAGATTAAGATTTTGGTAACTATCTGGCTATTTTGATCAAGGCAGATACCTGGTAATTGATATGTTAAGGCATTTTTCTCCCTGAGTTATTGGATGATGAAATCATAGAAAATTAAACCTAGTAGCAAACATTAGATGTGCATATTTGAAGACAGATTTTTTTTATAGCTGTACTATGAGTTATTTTTTTTCTGTCAAATATTATTTATGAGGAATGTTGAGGTAACTAGAGAGGAAAAATGTCATAGAAAACAGTTCCCTTCAGATGATCTAAGAGGTTCATGTTGTATACAATGCACCTCTTATCAGAAAGTTATTGGTGATACCATTTCTTTTCCGGTAAAGCAAAGCAAGTCTTCATTTTTACATATTTGACATCTCTGAGTTACTTACTGATGTCAGAGAGGGCATCCTTGATGTATGTTTATTCATATATTTTCAAAAAACAGTACAGAAAATTTTCCATTACTGAAGAAATAAATCCACAAAAACCAAAGGCTTGAGAATATTCCTTTAAAAAGATAATTTATTGACTTTTGTGCATTGGGGATTAACCAAATCTGTAACTAGAGATTAATCTGGAGAAGGGGGAGAGAGGAATAGAATGTGAATGGGACAGAGGCAGAGGAGGGAATGTGAGGGAATTAGGGCATTAGTGCTGCTGGAAGGGTGTGAATATGACTTGTTGAGGCTTTCTGAGTTTCAGGCTCTGTGCTACGTGCTCTGCATATATATCTTCTTCTTAATCTCTGTAACAGACCTATGAGGTGACAGACATTATTATCCACAGTTTTCAAATGAGGAAACTGGCTCAGAGAGGTTTCAATAAATGACCCAAGATCACACAGCCAGTAAATAGCAGTCAGGATTTGAACTCACAGATGTTTGTACTTCAAGTCTGTGTGCTTTACCGTACTGCATACGTCTGTCTACAGAGTGCTGATTTTACAGATATTTTCCCCAACTTGGCTATTGGTTAACTGTCCAGATTTGTTTTTACATGAGTAACGCATGCTCCAGTTTATTTTTATTCAAAGATAAGTATATATAAAGAGATGTAGATCCTTTTATGGTTTGCTGAAATTTATTTTGAACTTAGTTCTCGTGCATCAGAAATACCTTATTAATTGAAAATAGACCCATTAATTACTGTGTGGGATGTGAAAAAATGCATTCTTTGTAAATTTCTAGTTTTTCCTTTGGACTATGGTAATTTGCATTTGTCCTATGCTTTTGGCAGTAGCCACAGATTTCAAGTATTAAACATAAGTGAAATACTGTATGTGATTTTCTATATTGTATGGGAGGAAAAAAGTCAATCTGGGGGACAGATCCAAGTGATGTGAGACTCCAGCTGAAGGCTCAGGTCCCTCTAGGGAAAGTCACAGCAGCCTGACGGTGTAGGAAAATGGCACTCTGCTGCTGTCAGTTTACTTGGCAGTGCCTGGCAAAGAGCACAGGAAAAACACCAGAGCAGCAATGAGCAGTTTTTCAGCTGCCAGAGAAAAAGTTTCACAAACTGGGAATTTTACAAAGGTACACTAATGTCTGATACTAATTTATTCATCAAATATTTGTTGCATAGTATATGCTGAAAATACAATGCTGAATTAGTCATTGTTCCTGCTTTCAAGGAACACACGGGCCAGACGGGAAGACAGTCTATAAATTTCAGTAAAGGGCGTCAAGGGCCATAGTCACAGGGCCTTATGTGAGCACCTAGGAGAGGTACCTGGTTTCGCCGGAAGTATTGGGAAATGTTCCAGAAGAGGGAATATCTATTCTAAGCCAGACTGTCTATATAATTTGCGGAGTCCAGTGCGAAATGAAAATGTGGATCATTTGTTCAAAAACTATGAAGAATTTCAAGATGGTGACAGCTGAGCATTAGATAAAGCACAGACACTTCTAATTGAATTTCCTTCTACTTAGACTGTAATACCCACAATGGGAAAATTCGAAACCATTGTTTAACAAAATGAACCCACTCTGGGCATTTATGCTGTTTGTTTCCTTTGAAGTATTACTACATAGCAAAAATCTAAGGGTCTACAATAATGTATTTAAATCAGCCTGGTGTGGCCATGATAATTTTGGAAGAACAATATTAGAATGGGTCATGAATGTTTAGTATTTGTTGCATTTCCCCCAGAAAAGGAAAGTTTCTGGGAACTTCAGGGAATATTTAAATACTTTCTCCAGCAGCCTGTTGCCTCTGAAACAAATAATTTATGGAAATGATAAAAAGCAAGTGTTAGTATGTTTGTTGGAAACGAAAACAGAAACCCTACCTGTTGATTACAAAAGCAGAGAACATGGTATCCATGGAATATTGTATTACAGTATTTTTCACAACTACTCACTGTACCCTTTAAAGGTTGTATAATGCCTGCTGGTAGCAAGGTAGCCATACGATTTATAGTAATTCCCTGAGGAAGGACTCTATCTATCCTTCTCACTTGGCCATGTGACTTGCTTTGGCCAATGGAGTGAAAGGACGTGATGTAAGCCATGTCTGAGTAGAAGTTCCAGGCAAATGCTTTAAGGGCCATGGCAGTTGGCACTCTGCTTTCCCCCTGCCACAAGTTCAGCATGTTCCCCGGAGGAGTTCTTTCTTCAAGCCTGGATCCTGAAAGAAAAAGCCATGTGGAGCACAGTCATGGCCAACACATGAAATGTGAATGCGAAGTAAACCTTGGTTGTTAAAAAGCCAGTGAGATTTTTTGGGGTTATTAATGACCATAACTGGGTGAAAATTGGCTAACACAGTGTTTTTATTTATAATAGGGCAATGAGTCACAAATACATCATTTGTCTAAAGGACATTCAGCGATCTCACTCCTCTGGGGAATGACACTGCTCTAATAATGATGATCATATAGGTTTTTCCAGAGGCAGATACACTGGGAATTCTGCTAATGGTAATCTGATCTGCTGGGAAATCAAGCTGAGTCCTCCAGGCATGAGTTGGGTCTAAATGGCTAAACCCCTGTCCTCACTTCCCCACCTGGTCCAGCTGCTTGCTGCCTACTTGATCTTAGACAAGTTGCTAAGCCTCAATTCCCCAATTTGTAAACTTGGAATAGGACTATTTACTTCATAAATTTGTTAGGACAGGGTCAGCTTCTATTTCTTCTGTATCAATGCCATTTTCCCACACAGTTTCTACCCCTCTGATTAAATTAGCTCTTGTTTGACTTTGTCTATCATTTTTAATGTAAAAGAAGTAAGACATTTGTAGATTAATATTGAGCTTCTCTTTGTTTCTCCCCAAGTATCTATTCTTTCTTCAGTGACAACAACTACCTCATAAAGGGTATATACTTTATTTTGATATTGGATATATATGCATATACATACATAAGTTAAAATATGCATAAAACCATGTTCTGTACACAGGAAAAATTTAGGATAAAAGAATTAGTGAAATCTTCTTTTCTTAAAAGGATTATGGTGGGGGAAGTGGGTTCACTTCTCCCTATGAAGCTGTTAATTCTTTTATGTTACTTGGCAAAGCTTGCTTGCTTTCTCTTCCTTTTTTCTCTCTCTTTCTTTCTTTTTCCTCTTTCCTTTCTTTCTTTCTTTCTTTCTTTCTTTCTTTCTTTCTTTCTTTCTTTCCTTTTCTCTTTCTTTCTTTCCCCTCCCTTCCTTCCCTCCCTCCCTCCTTCCCTCCCTCCCTCCCTCCCTGCCTCCTTCCTTCCTTCCTTCCTTCCCTCCCTCCCTCCCTTCCCCCCCCTCCCTCCCTCCCTCCCTCTCTCTCTTTATTTTTTTATTTTCTTTCTCCTCTCTTTCTTTCTTTTTTTTCTTTTTGAAGCAGGGTCTGGCTCTGTCATCCAGGCTGGAGTACAGTGGTGTGATCTTGGCTCACTGCAACTTCCACCTCCCAGACTCAGATGATCCTCCTGCCTCAACCTCCCAAGTAGCTGAGACTAACAGGCATGTGCCACCAAGCCCAGCTAATTTTTGTATTTTTTGTAGAGACAGGGTTTCGCCATGTTGCCCAGGCTGGTCTTGAACTCCTGAACTTAAGCAATCCGCCTGCTTCATCCTTCCAAAGTGCTGAGATTGCAGGCATGAGCCATCGTGCCTGGCCTGGCAAATTTTTCTAATTGTCACTATCGGTCAAGTCCTGTCCTACGAACTGAGAATAAAGAGTGGAACTGGATAGAAAAAGGCCTGCTATCTTTTAGCTTACCTTCTAGTAGGAGGAAGCAGACAATAAACAATTAAGCCAATAAGTAGACCCAATAAAAGGCCAAAAAACATGAAGTAAGAGTCCTTGGGAGAGCTCTCTACTGAATGGATAAGAATAATGTGTTAATTTATAGCTGTTTCAAGGAAGAGTAGCAACATTTATTGAGCACCTGCTAAGTTTCAGCTAGTTTATCTGTACTCTTTCATTTAATAATTGTAATAACCCTGTGAGTAGGTCCATTTTATAGGTCAAAAACTGGACATTCACAACTAGAAAGTCAACTAACTTCCCCTCAATTACCCAGCTGATAAATTCAAGAGTGGACCTCTAATTCTTACCTCCTACTTCTTCCTCAAGCCCAGTAATCTCTTTTAAGTAGGAAAAACATATCTCTTTCTGCTTACCCTCACCTATATCCTCAGTTAGGCTTTTTTAGATTATAAGTGATATTTTTCTTAGAATAAAGTTAAATTTCAGCTTTCCCTGCATTTACAGGAAATATTCTTTAAAAACAGAGCACTGGACTTAAATTCTGGAGAACTACCTTCAAACTACTGTCCTGCTACTCAATACCCATGTGGTTTCCGGCAAGTCACTCAACTTCTATGAGCCTGTTTACTCATCTGTAACAGGAGATAGTGCCAGGTATAAGGTTTTATGATCCCTAGTTTTGAACTAGTGGGGTCTGGCTTCACAGATTTTACTATACTTTGCACACTAATATTGCACACTGACATAGAGTCTCTCTCTGGTGATGTGCACAAGGATTTATATAACTCAGATCACTTCCACAGCACAGTGACTCAGAGCCCCTGGAGTATGAAAGACTGAATCCCTAAGTCTGGCTCACGAGCAGTAAGATCTCCTTTTCCTCTGCATTTTACCTAAGTGTTTTTTTTTTTTTTCCAGGCTGGGAGAGTTTGCCTCTGGCGTGCCTCTGCTCTTGAGGGTGAAATGGGCTCAGAGTGACTTTAAAGGCTGCTCAACAAAGGCAGGAACACCAGAGAATTATCATTTTCTTTTTCTTCAGCTGACTGGATAAGTGTAGCTGTAATAGAGTATGGTTCAGGAGGGCAAAACCACTTTGGAAGAAACCTTGAAAGTGATTCAATTTCAAGTCACAAGATCAATTATGTGAGGTTCTAGAACTACTGATACTGAGTTTTACAGCAGATTCATGGCACAGGTTCAGAAGGTGATTCAGGATGTCTCTTTCCTTGGACATTAAAGCTCATTACCTGAAAATTACTCAGCCTTGGCCCTTAGGGAAATTTTAAGTGCCCAGCCCAAACGGCATAATCCTATTTAAAATACCAAGATTGCATGATAATGAACAACATCGAAAGAAAACACTTGTCTGGGTCAGATCTCATCAATTAGACAATTTCCAACAGAGAACACATCTCTAGATAACTACATGTCTGTCATATAAGGGATATGTGGACTTCCGGCTATGTGCTTACAGTAAATTATCTCAAGAAAACTAGGCAGCAGGTAGAAAAAGAGCAATGCAATCCCACTTTTTTAATGCTCTTGCCTATAGTCTTTGATGGACTGAACTTCATTTGATGACCATTTCTATTCTTGCCTGCAATTTGGGAATGTTAAATCCTATCTCATAGGAGTGTGTATGGGTAGCATGAACTAAGGTAGATAAAGGCTTCACGTGGTGTTTGGCATGGCGTAGGTGTAGATTGGACCTCAGTTTTCTGCCCATGTTTGCTCTTCACGTACCTGTCTGGTATCTGTATGTGCTAAGCTCTGAGCCTTACAAACCATAGGGAGAGATATGCAAACTTGCCCTCAATGAGCATGTTGTCTAGCGAGGAAGATGAAATGCATAGACAGACAACTAGAGGTGGGGTTTGAGGGAGCCCAAGAAATAAGCACGCTTTTCCTGGCCCAGTTGCTGACAAGGAGATTGAGAGAGGGTCCCAGAGGTCAGTGGATTCTGGAGAATGTGGCATGGATGTGTTAGCTCAGGGGACTTGCCAGTCCTTCAGTCAGGCAGTAAGAGGACATCCCCAGTTGCCAGTCATTGGAAACCTAAAGAACTACAGGCTTCCTGGGGTAGGGGGACAGAATGGGTGCTGCAGGCTGGTCTGCAGAGGGCAGGCAGAGGTGCTGAGCAATCGCACTGGTTGAGAGAGGGGAGTATTGCTATTGTGGAACCTTCTCCACATGGACACATGAAACAGCAGAAAGGGAGAAGGAAAAAACCCTAATAAATTTAGCTTGCAATTTAAATTGAAGGGCTAAGAATAACTGACATTAATACTCATGCCTCATTACTGGTTGATTTATTTGGTTCTCAAACCATGGCTGTGTGTCAGAATCACTCGTGGAGATTTAAAAAATTACAAATACCTGGCTCCACCTGTTGGAGATTCTAAACCAGAGGATTTGGGAAGAGGTTTAGATATCTACATTTTAAAATCCCACTACAGGTCATTCTGATGGGCATCCAGGGTTTTGACCCACAACATTAATTAAGCAACGGTAGGCTTGGTTAATCTTTAAAAATACAACAGTCTTTAAAAAGGACCAGTGCTAATTGCATTATGCTTCTGTGTAAAAAAAATACAAAACCCTCAGATTTATTTGTCCTTTCTGCCAAAACAGAGATAAGAGAAGATCAAGGGAGTAGACAGATAAAAAGGTAAGTCCTGTGTCTTCTGTCTTAGGTTTTCATAGAAGTAACCAGAAGATATATATTTTTTTGCTTATCTTTTTTCTATAGTTAGTATGATCAAAGCTAACATTTCAAAAGCTGATCTTCCCTGGAAACATGAATAGGAACATAATACATTCAGTTGAAATTTTATCTAACTTTTAGTGAGTGCCTACTGTGTGCTAGAACTATGCTTGGCAGTTTCCTGTGTCTTCCCAGGTGAGGAGGTCAGGCCATAAGTGTAGTAGGATTAATGACGGCATTCTGAGCTAGTGAGAATGTTTAGGAACCATGACTTAAACGTTTATCTGCATATGATTCTCACTGCTGATGAAGATATGGTGATGCTGCAGCACGTATGTATTGTGGAGACACTGAAATTTAATACAACTTTTTGAACAAAAATTTGATAATGTATCCTAAGAACCAGATCTATATAAATGTTCTTAACATTGCACCCATTATTTCAATTTCTGAGAATTATCTTAAGGAGATACTTTTTTAAAGTAACATGTTTCAGGTAAGAGGAGAATAATTATAATGTATTTTAAATGTAGCTATATCTGGAAATTACATAAATTTTAATCATTAAGGAAATGATAGGTGAATTATTGCATAATGACTTTTAGACACTTAAATCTGGTCATTATAAAGCCTCTGGAGGAACAGGTAAAATGCTTAAGACAAAAAGCCAAAAGAAAAAATATGTACCAGGATAGTAATTAAAAGTTATTCATTAATGTTGGAAGGAAGTGTGAAGATGAGATGTAGTTTGTGTGTGGTAGTAGAATTCTGAGCATGTTTTCCTTTTTGGATGTGGTGGATGCACATTGTCCGGTCTTCCCAGCATCCCTTCCCACCCTATATGCAGCTAAGAGGAAAGGAAACCTTTCACCTCTGGCCAGTGAGCTGGGATGCAGTTTGCTTGCAGTCATTTGCAGCCTTTCTCCCCCTTTTTTTTTCCACTGCCAAATCAAGGAAACTTGCCCGTAGTAAGAGATAAAAAACTAAAAATCTAGAGAGAGGCTGGAGTCAGAGGGATGAACAGATGTGTGGAGAAAGGGGTAGAGAGATGGACGGGCCCACCTGAAGAGACCTTTAAGTTGGCGAGACAGTCTTCTAAATTTGGCACCTATGTGACACCGTACAATTTCTTTCTTATACTAGTTAATCTTGTTCTAGTCTGCTGACAATCAAAAGAATTCTGACAATAGAATTGGTTTAATTTTTAAAAGTTTTTAATTCTATGTTAGAGTCTGCCAAGGTTGTTGTTTGTTTTTAAATGAACCTTCTTTACTTTCTGAAGTACTAGAACATTTTGTACTTGTGTGTAAATACTGCGTTTATGAATCATTTCCCATTATTTTACTGATAGAATGTTGGTCTTTATTGAACTGTCATTTCCTTTCAGGTCTTCTTCTCAGCTTTTCCTGCAACATAACCACATTAACTGTTTTTCCACATCCTGATTCTGACAATAGCCATCCTGAGAATGCTTTTGGAAAGGGTAGTCTGAAACTACAATGTGGATTCAAATCTGTATAAGGCAGAAATGTATGGGGAATTCTGAAATCAATCAACAAACAGTAATTGAGCACCTATTATGTGCCAGGTTCTAGGGCTACAATGAAAATAAAAGTAGACAGAGCTCCTGTCCTTAACATGCTTATCTCTGTGTGTGCTGTGTGCATTCACTGGAGGTCCAGGGAGGCTTAGTCTGGGAGTATATTTAGCACTTAATATTTATTTAATACATCTGCAAAACGTCAACAGGATAACAAGCAACATTTATGGACCTTTAATAAGATAAGGTCTGTGCCATATCTTATTTTCCCCATTTTACCAGATGAGGAAATGGAGGTGCAATGAGGATATTTAATATATCCAATATTACAGAGTTAATAGGTGCCAAAGGTGGATTTAACCTGACACAGTCTGGCTCCTTACCATAGGATATTGCTGCTTACACGGTTGTAAGAAATCTGCTCAGAAATGCTGAATCTGTTACTTAAATTAATTTTTAATTTTTTTTGGAAAAATAATTATTAAGTTAAATGTTGGTGGTGAGATATACAGATATCTGACTGGAATAAGACAGGAGATTCCCTTTTCAACTTGCTATAGTTTGAGCCACAGGAAAAAAGTTCTGAAAAAATTAGTTCATCCATTAATTCATGTATTCAACAGCATTTTCAGCATACTACCTGCTACTAAGCAAATTTTGTAGAAAGCCCTTGGTTTGTTAAGGGTAAATGGAACAGAAACAAATCCTTAAAATATAACATAGGATGGTAAGTTCTGTAATAAAAGGGTTAAAAAGGAACTTTGAGAGCATTAAGAGGTGAAAGGAGGGGAAGGAGGGAGGAAATGTTATGAATTGTTTGACAAGTAAGCTAGGCGTTGAAATATGAGGAGGAATTCTTCCATGGACTTGGGAGTGGGTATAGGAGTAGTGGTGTAGAAAGGGACTTCTGCAACAGGATCTGCTTCTAAGCTCAGTCAATCGTGTCCTGAGAATTGCAAGTGGCTCTAAGACCAGGACTAAAAAGATAGGTTGTGCCAACTGAGGGAAAGCATTTGGAATTGTCTTTGAGGTCAGGGCTATATAAACTCTTTTAATTGCATACACCTACCAGTAAAAATAACTTGAGCATATACTCTTCAAATATGTGTTTATTTGCATATATTTATTTTTATATATACACTATCAGATTAGTTTCTTATATCCCTTCGGAAATACACACAGATGTAATTAAATAGGAAATATTTAAAGATAATGTTAGTTTTTGCTCCTATAAAATTTTCTTAAACATTAGAATGAATAATGTGTTTGAAAATGCAGATATGTTTTTGAAAAATTTGATTTAACACTTTATGATGGGGTAATTTAAAGGACTGGTTCTAAGTTCAGTTTATTTTGATTTCTAGTTTTAATTAAATCAAGACACTTCACAAATAGTGAAGTGCAGTTCCGATTGAAGGAGTGTTTGTTGGCATTATAACTAAGTCATAATGCAGTTTTTGCAGTTTTTTTTTTCAGTCTTAAACACTGTACTTAGGTTTTTCTTGAAATGTAATTAATAACTTTCTGTTTTTCCTGATATCATTTAGTCATTCTTGTAAACTCTTTGGAAGATGTTGCATTTTAATATTTTTAGTAGTTGGTTCAAATTCATAATCTGAATTATTTAGACACAGGCTAGAAAATTCTGTTTCTCATCTTTTTTTTAATGTGCAGATAGGAAAGGTTTTTTTGTTTGTTTTGTTTTTTTTTTTTTTTTTTAATGAGACACAGTCACATTACTTTTAGCCATTAAATCAATGATGAGGAAACATTTCCCCAATTGTATGAGTTATCTCTTGCTGCATAACAAATCATCCCCACAATTAGTATGGTAAAACAACAGACATTTCTTTTCTTTTCTTTTTTTTTCTTGAGACGGAGTCTCGCTCTGTCGCCCAGGCTGGAGTGCAGTGGTGCGATCTCGGCTCACTGCAAGCTCCGCCTCCCGGGTTCACGCCATTCTCTTGCCTCAGCCTCCCGAGTAGCTGGCACTACAGGCACCCACCACCATGCCTGGCTAATTTTTTGTATTTTTAGTAGAGACGGGGTTTCACTGTGTTAGCCAGGAAGATCTCCTGACCTCGTGATCTGCCCGCCTCGGCTGGGTTTACAGGCATGAGCCACCGTGCCCAGCCGACATTTCTTATCTCATAGTTTCTGTGGGTCACAGATCCCAGGAGTGGCTTAGCTGCATTATTTTGGGTCAGAGTCTCCCACAAAACTGTGACTGAGGGGTTGGCCGGCCTTCCAGTCAGCTCAAGGCCAAATTGACTGAGGCTCTGCTTCCAAGTTCCCCCACGTGCCTGTTGGCATGCCTCAGGTCCTGGTCAGCTGTTGGCTAGAGGTGGTAGTTCCTTGCCATGGGCTTCTCAATAAAGAGAGAGTAAGAGAGGGTGAATAAGATATAAGTCTCAGTCTTTCTGTAACATAATCTCAGAAGTAACTCTTTACATAATCCTATTTATTAGAGTTACTAAGTCCAGTCCATATTCTAGGGCAGGGAATCACACAAGGACATAGATACCGGGAAGAGAAGATCAGCAGGGGCAACCTCAGAAGCTGCTAGCACACCCATTTTCAAAGCAACAAATTAATTTAGAAAAGCAGTTACTTTCTTATTCACTATTAAAATGTTACCTTTACCTTGAAAAGACATTAAGCATATCCGTTTTTCTGAAAATATCTGCATAATCCTGGCAGCCACTAGTCATCACAGGAAAGGTTAGACAACTTGGGAGCCTTGTCTTTTGTAAAAGAAAAATGTGCAAGTCCACTTTTAGTTGGATAACTGTTAAGTATTTGCTTACAAAATAACTAGCCAACTAGTAAGGACAGTTAATTTGATACAATTAAGCCCTTTATAAAGTAGGTTCTTGGCAAGTCTTTTAAGTTCAATAAACTTTTTCATCAAACTTAAAAGACTTGCCAAGAACCTTCTTTATATATAAAGGGCTTAATTTTATCAAATTAACTATTGATAACATCCTCTAGCATGTAGAATGCAATTCATTCCAATATTCTGAGAGTGAAGAAATAAATGTGGATCCCCCCATCACCTCTCACTTGTGGGACCCTTTAAGAGTTCTTCCTTCAGGGAAACTCAGCTGGGTTAGGTGAGGGCATCAGTATCATTCCATACACTCAACATGCATACATTTAAATTACTTTCTAATTATTTTCTTTTTAGTTTTGCTAAAGAGTAGGAATATGGAAAAATCGGAATGCTAACATTGTTTTTCTATACCATATGTATCATCTGGTGCTTACCCCTTTGGAGACCTCTGCTCTAGGCCAAGGGTTCTTAACTCAGGATTTATTGCTTATGGGTGATTTGTTTTCAAGGGATGAAAAAAAGTGACCAAAGCTGTAATCAGATCTCCAAGAAACCATTAAGAACCACTGCTATAGGTAATGAATAGATAATGAAAAATGGTACAAAGGAGAACATGAAGGGATTTAAAGTTTAGGATGCTACTTGGGTGGCAGAATGGAGGGTGGCTTGGAGAGACCAATCCTGGAGGTAGGGCAGTGGGGTGTTCGCTCCCTCAGTGAGGCAAAAGGTGACAAGGGATTGAACCCAGGCATTGTGAGTGGGATGGAAAGGGGAAACTTGTGGCGCATAAAAGTCAGCATGTGCCACAGTGAAAGGCTGCAGGATCGTGAAGCCACTAAGCGGGTGTTCATAAAGGCAATTTATAAAGAAAACATGTCTACAAGAGGAAGTCAGATCTCAGATCTAAGACATTTCAGGTCTTCTGTCCCCACTTTTTTTTTTTAAACCACACTGTTCTTTCTTTTATTTTTTATTCTTTTGTTATTTTTTTCCCCTGGAGATTCAAGCTGAGAGAGAAAGGAGAGATTCAGTGACAAGTTATCAATATTTTCTAAAAGAAACCTAACCATTTAGTAATAGAAGAAGGGTGTTTGGAAAGAGGGGCTGTGGAATAATATTGGAGCCCCAAATAAATCTGTGATCTGCTAAACATCTTCTGGGTTAGAAAATAGAATTGATCTGAATTCCACAGTTGTGGCTTATTTAAGAAGGGTAAGACGTTTTAAAGTCCACCCTCTGCCACCCCCTCCCCCCGGCTTTCTTCTGGAATTTTGATTTCTTTCCTTCTATTGTGATGAGCATTGCTTTGGTTTTGTCTAGGCTGAGCTATGTCTCCTGATCAGTCTCCTGTTTCTGCTTATATCATAAAGGCACATTTCTGTAGTGCTTCATACCTTACCCAGCCTCTTCACATAGGCTTTCTTATTTAACCAGCTCCTTGGGCATTGCTCTAAGTGTCCAATTCAGCTGAAAATATCATCTGCATGGCATTGCTGTTACAGTGGATTCTCAAAGTTGTAGTTGTCATTTTTTGGAGGTTCAGATAAGAAGATGAGTGGGGCACAGGAGCAGTGCACTTCCCCCTTGAAGTAGTGTGGGGAAAGAAAAGAGGCAGCTCCATTTCAACAAGAGCCTCTTTCAGTCCTTGCATGGCCTCATGTTCCCTGACATGCTAACCAGTCCAGAAATAACAATGTCAGTGCAACTGGCCTTTCCCCACTGCTTCTGTAGAGGCTGATGTTGTTCCTGTGGCCCAGCCAGGGCACCATCCTAAAGAACACGGAGCCAGTGTGCTGTGGGAGTTGAGGCTGCTGTCAAAGTTGGCCAGTTCCTTTCCAGACACAGTCACTTCCCACTGGAAGTGAGCCAAGCTGGGGGATGGGCAGGGACAGGGTAGGTGTTCTGTACAAGATCTACCTTTCTAAGTGGCAAGAGGCATTGTGGATTGTTGCTATGAGATTTTGTTGACTGGTAAGATTTCTTTTATCAGTGGCAATAAAGTGAGACCTTATGCTGCAATTATTTCCAACCTGGTTGATTTTCTCTCTGTAGCAGAACTCCTGGCACATGGCTGCAGGTGTGTAGGTAACCCGAAGATATCTGACTCAGTGATCACTGTTTTTTGGGAAATGGAGAAAAAGAGCTCTTAGCTGGCTTCAGAGTCTGGTTTCAATCTTGTGTGGTGACTGTTGGGACTTATTTACTGGATATTTAATTTTTCATTTGAAAAACTATTGTAGAGGTCTATGAAGACGGTCCCTCCCTCCCTCCCTCCCTCCCTCCCTTCCTTCCTTCCTTCCTTCCTTCCTTTCTCCTGCTCTCCCTTCCTTGCTGGGAGAGAAGGGAGACATTCATTGATGAGTTACCAATATTTTCTAAAAATATCCAGTAATATATAGTAATAGAAGAAAAAGGGTGTTTGGAAAGAGGTGCTGTGGAATAATACTGGAGCCCTAAAAAATCTGTGGTTTGCTAAACATTTTCTGGGCTGGGAAATATAATTGATTTGAATTCTCAGCTGTGCCTTGTTTAAGAAGGGTGAGTTGTTTTTATGACTTTTTTCCTCCCTTTTTCTAGATCTATCTATCTTTCTCTCTGTGACTCTCAAAATTTGAGGTATAGTTCTCTTTTCCCTCCCTCCTTGTCTCTTTCTCTTTTTTTTTCTTTCTTTCTTTCTTTCTTTCTTTCCTTCCTTCCTTCCTTCCTTCCTTCCTTCCTTCCTTCCTTCCTTCCTTCCTTCTTTCTCTCTTTTTTTCTTTCTTTCCTTCTTCTCTCTTTCACATTAGGTAGAGCTGGACTGTAGTTTCCTCTCAGTGACATACTAATTGTGTGCCTTGAGGAAGTTGCTTCTCTTCTCTAAGCCCTTGTTTTCTCATCTGTAATGACATCTGCTTTATCATACAGTGATATTCATTAATCATCAAGGATTGGAAATGATGAGTAAAGCACTAGAATAGTGCCTGTCACATCAAACGAGCTCGCTAAATGAGAATTATTATTTTCCTATATAAATTTCACCGATGTGGCCTGCAGTGACTTTGTAGAGGAGCAAATCAAGGTTTCTGAAAGGGATATGTGTGAGTGTCATGACTGTAGTAAGAAGAACAGCCAAGTTAGTCAACAAATGTTTATAAAAGTATCCATTGACAACATGGTGCTGTTGTATTAAACGCTGTACAAAAAGCAAAAATATAAACTTTCTAGTTATTAAAAACTTGCCGTCATATGTGGCAAGACATGGTAACAAAAACATTTAGAATTAAAAAAATAAGTATTTCTGTAATTTTCTAGATCCTCTTCTTATAATTTTTAATAATTTTTAAAGAATCCTGTCATTCCTAGATGTCTCTAACCTTTCAGAGATCTCTATGGGGCCAATAATTCACTTCTGGACCTTTGAAGTTATATGTTGGGGTTTGGCTTTGGAACATTCTCATTCCCATTCGTGATAACCGTGAACAGAAAGCTGACTCATTACCTGATGAATACAGATAAACAAGTAATGGGGAGAGAATGCAATATAATTCACATCTGCCTTAATAAATCAGTTTTATTTAACTCTTTGGTTTGCTCTGACTGTGTGAGTACTGCAGTGTTCTGGAGGAATTTGCAAATCCCCTCACCTTTGCTCTCTGCTCTTAGAGGGTTACTTTCCCTGTTATCTCCTGACATCCCTGCTTTGTTATTTCTTTTCAAACCTGAAGCCACCTCTCTGTTCATCACCCACTGCCCTTCAGAACTCTTCCCTTGAAGTCTTTCCAAACAGGTGCTGTCCTGCTTCATTTCTGACCAACATTCTACTAACTCTTGTTTCTTATAGATGTTCTCCCTCCTGAACACTAACGTGCCTGTCTTTATATAGCCCTAACTGCCTTTATGTTTCCATGTTCACTACTTGGTGTTTACCAGTATTTATTCTCCCTCCTCCAGGAGAGCTTGTGAGGGTAAGGATCCCGTGTTGCTTTTTAATGTAATGCCCTACATTGTTATAAGTTAAATGAATTATAAAGACAATGGATAAAGGGCATATCTAGGAAAGCTCTCAGTATACTTTTTTGTTTTTTAGTGTAGCAGTTTTCATCTTAGTCTGATAATCTTACTATTAATAAAAACTTATTAGGCAAAGGTTCCAAATTATATCTTGCAGGAACGTGTACAAGTTTGGACTGGTGGATGACTGATTGACTCTGAAGAATTAAATAGCAGTGGTTTACTGAGATAGCCTGAGAAATTGAGAGAGAGAGATTGAGAGATACTAAGTCCTGCTGCAGGCAGAACCCATTAAGTGAGGCATTCCTGGGCCCCTTGTAACTTACCAATAACTCTCCCCATTTGTGTGGTACAGATGGCAGGAAGGTGAGGACTCTAGGCTATCTGATGGGAGAATGAAGAAAAGGGACCACAAGTACTCCTCCCTCTGTCAGCCTCATGTCAGCCAGTAGTAGTGGTAATTACCACCATTGCTGAGCCCCTTACTAGAGTAATAGCAGTATAGTAATAGTATAGTCCAGACACTATGGTATTTTAAGAAAATAAAGGCTATCACATTTAATCCTCACAAACCACCTCTGAAAAATTTTCACAAAATTTTATACAAGAGAACACAGAAGCTCAAGGTCACACCATTAGTAAAGCATAGAGTCAGGCTGTGTGTCCAGGTCTGTCCAATCTTAAAGCCTGTGCTAAGTCTTGTCCTCACCTATTTACCTGTTTATTTTGACTATTTTTGTTGTTGTTGTTGTGTTTCCTTTGGGAAGGGGGAGGATGGAATCTTACATTTTTTTGACTTATATCCGGGACTTAGCATGTTAGGTGTGTTCTCAGTACATTTTTGCTGAGTGAATGGGCGAGTCCAGTCCAGTTGCTCTATGATGGAATGTGGAACTGAGCAGTGTGGTGTCTGGGAAAGGGCCATGTTGAGGAGGTAGGAAGGAGGCCTAGGTCCTAGTTCATTCTCTCTTACTAACACATGATCTTGGGCAAGTCACATACATTCTGTGGGCTTCAGAGTGTTACCTGTGAAACATAAGGGGGCTGAAGAACAACGTAATTTCTCCAGTGCCTGATTCTTGTGAGGCATGGAGAAAAGGCCACTAGATCGCTTCAAACATGTGTTACAGAAAAGAGGCCGATTTCATGCTTGGGATCAGGAATTCTGCTCTCTCTTTTTATCTTAGAAACCTATATTTGTGATTTATGATAAACTCTTTGATTTTCCTGTGCCATTCCTCCCATTTGCTGATGAAGATAGAGCAATCCCTGCATCCTTCCTGGCTATTTCATGATCTTAAAGTTTTATAGAAGACAAAAATTTAGTAATAATGTAGCAATAATATGATTAAGCACAATAATCATAAAAAAGACCACAAATATTATCTAATGAAAACTCAGCCTCCTCTTCCTTCAGCTTCCTCTTCCTCAACTAGAGAAATGCTGAATTGGGATAGCATTTAATGTTCTGGTTTAAAGACAGGTATTTTAATATCATGTAAATATCAGTGCTTATTGCAGTTGAAGAAAAGTATCAAGAAAATAACAGATTATTCAGACTTAGACTGATATGCTACACAATTACCCCAAGTCTACATTTTAACTGATTTCGCTGATGATTCCTACATTGAAATAATTTTCAATCACAAAATTACTCTTGTTTCTTAAAGTGAATTATTTTGTGAGAGGCTAGATTTCAGATATATATATATATATGGCTATGTATGTGTCTGTGTGTATATACATATATACATGTTTATACATATACAGATATACATAGATACATTTATTTAAAGTTAATCCTCTATAAGTCAGCCAACATAATGTTAATAACATAAACACACACACACATATATATGAATATTATTAACACTATGTTGGCTGACTTATAAAGGGTTGACTTTAAGCAAATTGAGTGTTGAACTTGATGGCCTTGACCATCTCTTGGATTTTTCCTGGGCTCATAATGATCAGAATATACATATTCCAGAAATAAAAATGTCCTTAGGGAATGACATGAAACCTTTAACACGAGTGACCCGTGGAAATGTTGATTATTGATGCCTTCCAGGTGCAGGAGGAAGAGAGACAATCTGCCAAGTGCCACATTCCGACATTAGTAGGTTTTTATGAGGGAGAAAGCAGGTAGAGAGCTGTCGAGTCACTAACACAAGGCCACACAAATGGCAAGTGGCAAGGATGAAATGAAGGCCCAGGTCCTTTGAGCTTCTTCTTCTTTTTTTTCTTTTAGACACAGAGTTTCATTCTGTCACCCAGGCTGGAGTGCAGATGCAGTGGCATGATGATAGTGCACTACAACTTGGAACTCCTGGGCTCAAGCCATCTTCCCTCCACTGCCTCCAAGTAGCTGGGGACTACAGGTGAACACCATCCTGCCTGGCTTTGAGCTTCTCTTTAACTACTTGCTCTCTCTACCACACGCTGACATGGTTTCCTGTTTCTATAAGAGCTGACAACCCTTTCTTGGATTTGCAAGGTTAAGATAGAGCATAACAGAACTTTGCCCACTGCTTAAATAGTTATTAAGTGGGACTATCACTTCATCCACTGATGGGAGATGGTAGGAAAGGGGTGATGCTTTTGAGAAGCTAAGTAGGGTGAAAAGCTGTGCTGGAAGAAATTGGTTTCTGGCATTATATTCAGGAATATAGCAATTTATTTGCAAAACAAGTGTTAGTGGGGTGTCGTAGAGGGCAGGGATGAGAGAACTTAAGGGTTGGATTTTCTCTCAAAGGTGCTTCGTTTGGCTGAAGCCTGTTTCCTCCCAGATAATTTTAGTATTGGACAGGCTCGTGATGGATATATTTCCAGGTGTCTACTTTAGAGATCTATGTAGAGATCTACTCTTTTTCCTCCAACATGTTCTGAAGTTCTCCAGTCTATCAGACCAGCATTCTTTCTGCTGCAATTTAAGCTTACTTCCTCTCCTACTTCTGTTTAAACTGATAACCTTGCCCAACACTGGTTAATCCCAAGAAAGATATTGGGACAAAGGTATCTATTGGAACACTCTCTTTTGGCTTAGTTGTCTTCATAATTCCTCTTGTAGGTGACTGGTTATCTTGATCTCTCCCACAATTGGTTTGGAAGCCTGCTCAGCAGCCCCTGTCACTCAACTCTCAAAGATCACTTTTGTTTTCAAGCAAATACTAAAACAGGTGGAACCTGCCACCAGTAATATGACCCACTGAGTAGAGAAGGTGACTCAGTCTTGGCAGCTCAAGTCAGGCTTGGGAGAGGTGACTGTGGGAATCCAAATGAACGGCTTATTTCCAAAGAATGTGCAAAATTCCAGTGTCAAAAATGTGAACAATTCAGTGCAACTGGACACACCTGACACACCTCTGCAGTCTTCCTCACACAAAGCCACCTGCTCTAAGTCAGCTTCAGGAGAATCTTGTTTTCTAGCACCCACAGGAGCAGTTCCTACAACTCAAGGGAGAGTTCAGATGGAAGGAGTGTTTGCTCCAAGGCTTGATATGCAGCTCAGAGTTGGAAGAAGAGTTTCCAGTGAAGCCCATGATGAAAGTTGATTATGAAACACTGATGTTTCTCACTTTTTTTACACTTTCATTTTGCTGACCTGTTATCAGTAATTTACGTGTTCCTCAGTGTCAAAAAACATGAATAGTTCTTATAGCCTTGCTTCCCTCTCTTCCAAGTCTCAGAGCTTCTGCTGGGTCAGGTTAACCCAAGCTCAAAAAAATCTTGGAGTTTTTCCAGGTAGTCAGTTCTTTCTGCTCAGCTGCCACCATGACTTCTTAAATTTATATAAAGGAAGAATAATCTAGTGGGGAAAAACTTGGCTGTATTAAGAGAAGACATGAGTTTGAAGCCAAGTTTCATTAAGTTGATAATTATGTGACTTTATCTCCTTTGAGAAAGCTGCTTTGTCTCCTAGTACATCTGGTTTTAATTTTGTATGATACAGATAAGATACTGGTCACATGGTGATGTACAAGGATGCTCTGAAAATGAAATAAGGCATACTAAGCTCCAAGACTCTTTTGATATAAATCCTACATAAAGTCAGCAGATTGAGGTTATCATTATAATGATGTAAGTGGTTGTAAATGCTCACCAAGGCTTAACTACATAAACACAGGGAAGAGGAAGAGAGACTTTTTTTTAGTTAAAAAGAATAAGTGGCCAACACCCCAACCCCCTTTTTTTATTTTTACGGTGTGTGTACATTAACATTTCTAAATTACTCAATTCCTTCTTGTGAAGGTTTTGCTAAAACCTGTAAGTTTAGACTATCTGGTGAAAAATCATATCCTCTTGTTATTGATGTTTTAAAACTTTTAAGTATTTTGACCTAAATGCTAAAGAACAAAGTCAATTGTTCAACTAAAAAGGCAGAATGTAAATATTTATTTGGCTTAGGTACTCTCGGAGCATCTATTTTCACAATCAAAATACTTCCTCCCAAATATTTGAGAAAGAGTTATAATATGGCTCTTTGAAAAGCGTGGGAAATTAAGGATGAAATAAAAACGTGACTATAGACTTCCTCAATTTTGAATAAGATTTCAGTGAGGGTCTCTTATGATTGGATGTTGATTTTATTAGCTTTTTATGTGACTTCATACTGCTTACTTTTGAAAAACGTTAATTGCATTTAATAGAGACATGGTTTACAGTGAATTAAGTGAAATATTGAAAAACAATTCTTAGAAAATAAAAAAATGTTGCTTTCCATTTTATTCCTTTTTTATTTATTTATTCCCAGGCTCTGCAGATTAATTTAAGTTTCATAATTTTGTTTGCTTTCATAATTTTGTTTGTTACATATTCTTTTTTATTTGGAGACGGATTCTCACTCTGTTGCCCAGGCTGGAGTGCAGTGGTGCGATCTCTGCTCACTGCAACCTCTGCCTCCCCGGTTCAAGCAATTCTCCTGCCTCAACCTCCTGAGTAGCTGGGACTACAGGCACATGCCACCATGCCCAACTAATTTTTTGTATTTTAGTAGAGATGGGGTTTCACCATGTTGCCCAGGCTGGTCTTGAACTCCTAAGCTCAGGCAGTCCACCTGCCTCGGCCTCCCAAAGTGCTAGGATTACAGTTGTGAGCCACCGCGCCCAGCCACTAGTTATTCACTTTCTTGTTTGAACTTTTGATCGTTTATTCCTTTACTCGGCTGCCCATTCATTTGTTAATACACTTATGAAATATTCAATGACCTAATAATTTGTGCCAGTCGCTGTTCTAGCGACAATTACATTTCATTAATTTAAAGGCATATATTTTCATTTAGGTGTATTTCTTTTATATTTGGCAAACTAATTTGTTTTGAAGCACATTGTAAACACTAGAAAGAAATTGATGACTTAGTGTGGTAATAAGGGAATGTCTACAGTTCAGGTTTTTGACCAGGTCAGGGCAACAGCAGTAATGATAACAGCTTACACCAACAGAACCCTACCATGTACCAGGTGCTATTCCAAGTGCTTTTCATGAATAAATGAGTTGAATCCTTAAAATAACTGAAGATTAAAATAAGAGAGGAGGAAACTGAAGTAGATGCCTCACTTTAAGTGATGCTGTTAAAGTTACAGAGCCTAATAAATGCTGGTGCCAAAAGGACAATATTACAAATCTCAAAGTGTTTTTCTGAGGATTAAAATAAAAAAGTCATGCAACGTGTTTATATCTCAATAATCATTAGGGAAAAACCCCCAGATCATAGAATAATTGTTTTTGTGATTGCACCAAGTGACTCATTTAAAATGCAGTCTCTAGGGTGGACTTAACTCTGTCACCTACTAGCTGTGTGACCCTTCAAAAATTGTTTTACTTCTCTGTGCCTCAGTTTCCCATCTGTAAAATGAGCATAATTCCTGCACTATCTAAGTAGGTAACTATGAGGCTCTAGTCTAGGAGATAGGTTCATGACAGTGTGTCGCAGGCCATGAAGAACTCTGGGAGTGTAGGAATTTTGCAGCAGTGTCTTTTTTTTAACGGTCCTACCTGCTGGTAGGACACCCCCCTTTTAAAAAAAATGCGTAGTCTAAATAGTACACAAATCAACTTTTACCTCATTAGCATTTTTTTTTCCATTAAACACTTCTGGATTCTTGGTAATTCTTTTGTAAACCACTTCCTCCTGTTGAAATCTTGAACTAATTTTGATATAGAAACTAGCTGTTGGGGTGATAGTACATGAGCCAGTTTATTAAAATCATCACCTGGTCTTTGGAGAATGGTGGTCTCTTCTGATTCTTTGTCCTGGATTACAACTCCCTCTTGTCACCTACCCTCATCATAGAAACTCATCTTTAAATACTCTTAATTGACCACATCTCTCTATTCTGTAATTCTAGTTTGCAGAATAAGCTCTCCTAGATATATCATCTGATGACTATTCCAGTTTGCTGTGCTTTCTATTTTTCACATCTTGTGTTATTTGAAGACGTTTATATTTACCTAATCCCCCTAGCAGCCCCAGGGGAAAGCAGGATGCCATGAGGCTCCGAGCACGCTGACTGTCTACATTCATTGGTCAGAAGGAACAATATTCACTCCTCTTTGGTTTTCACACAAGTCACTACTTTCTTGACTCAACCACACATCCCTTCCTTTGTTATGCTTGTATTTGAGTCATTGCTCCTGCTGATAACCAAATGCTGTTTTGCCATGTTCTTTTCTTTTTTCTACTCTTTGGAAAGTCTAACGACTTGCTCCTTTTCTGTCCCCTACAGAGAGGGCAATGGCTCATGCCTGTAATCTCAACATGTTGGGAGGCTGAGGTGGGCAGATCACATAAGGCAACAAGATCGAGACCAGCCTGGCAAAACTCCATCTCTATTAAAAATACAAAAATTAGCTGGGCATGGTGGCGTGCACCTGTGGTTCCGGCTACTTGGGAGGCTGAGGCAGGAGAATCGCTTGAACCCGGCAAGTGGAGGTTACAGTGAGCTGGGATCGCTCTACTACACTTCAGCTTGGGTGACAGAACAAGACTGTGTCTCAAAAAAAAAAGTAAAAACTAATATTAAGTTGACCTATTACTGTGGATTTAACTAGTACAGTTAGTGTGTTTTCTATGCAGGAGGGGGATGGAGGAGGGAGGAAAGCAGCTGTTATTATAAAACTGTAGTATATGTTTTAAAAACAGTTATAATTTTTATCTTTTTTCTATTCTTAGAAGCAATACGTCTCACACTTCAGGGCTAAAATGTACTTCTCTTCCTCTTCTAAAATCCTGGATACAAATCCTTGGTCTTAAGTTCTCTTTTCCATTCCAGGACACTTTCTAGCCAAAAGTGGAGGTTGCGTTGATCAGGAAGGGTTAGGCAACCTTTGTTGTTGAAGGACAATTTTGATGGAAGGATCCTGTCCCAGTCCCTCCCCTCCCCTCTTCTTCCTCTTCCTCCCCCTTATGATTTGCTGAGCTCTTCAAACACTTTGTCCCTGGGATCACCCTCGCCTCTGGGATGGAGCGCTCCATTGTGGCACCCTTATACCTTGCAAGTGCCTTCAGCAGTGCTTCCGTCAGCCTTGGAGGGTATAATCTGGAGCTGGAGGTTTCTAAGCAGTCAGGCTGCTGTGAGCATGATGTTTTGGTGTGTTTGCACCAGCTTCCTGTTGCAGAGTTTGGGAAGTGAATCTGGTAACTGCCTGAACAGAAACACTTCCCCTTACTTTCTACATCAAAGAGAAGTTATGAAGTTACCTGACATTGGTGTCACTTTTTAGGAGTAAGGACAAAGCATTGTGTTTTAAGGAGACTACATAAATAGGGAAAGGACCTCAGCTTCAGCTAAAAGAGGTCACACAATTTCTTTTAGCCTCAGTTTCCTCTTATGTAAGATGAAGTGATACTATGCCCCTTGCATGGTTGTTATGAGAAGGCAATGAGATAATTTAAATGAAGTGCCAGGTACCTTGCGGGGGGCACTTAATAAGTGGTAGCCATTTCTGTTATGGAGAATAGGTTCTGTTTTGTATAAGTGTTGTGGACTATGTCTTCTGAAGTTTGTTTTGTGAGTTGCAGTCATGTGATTCATATTTCCAGTATAGCCCCTGTACACTGTGTAGGTGTTTATACCCACTTTTGCCAGTGGAGTGAGAGCTCCTGCAGGAAAGAGAGGCATGGTGTGCTTGCTTATCTACGTGCTGGGGTAGAGAGGCATGGAAGGAAGGGCCAAAGAGCTCAGGCTGGAGCTAGGCTGTCTGAGTTTAAATGCTGCTGCTAAGTTAGTAGCTGTGTAAACTCAGGCAAGTTACTCAGCTTCTCTGTGTTTCAGTTTCGTCATCTGTAGAATAGAGACACTACTGTATACTACCTCATAGAGAGGTTGTAAGAATCAAATGAAAAAATTCACAGATATATGTAAAAGGCTTAAAACAGCATCTGGCTCAGGGTATACTGTTACTATGTACAGCATACATCAGACTCACTGTATGGTGAGTGCTCCCTAAATGCAAGCTTGCAAATGAGTGGGAAGTAGAGCATCCCTCTTTCTCTGTGTTCTATAGGGATCCCAAATAGAGGTGTGAACTACACGTGCTTATAAGAGATAGAATATCAAGTAGAATTTAGATTCCTGTATATGGGAGAACATTCCTCTTCTGCTGGACTCTGTTTCTGCTGCACCCTTGATTTCCCTCCCGTTTGGTATTCCCAGGGTTCCTGTTCATATCTCTTTGGTCATATCTCCTGGTCATATCTCTGGTGGTCAGTTCTGTGGGGACAGCACTATGTCCAACTTGTTTAATGTTATATCAGTAACTCCTAGCCTCTGGCATGATAGATTCTAAAAGCATGTTTAACAAATGATACATGGAACACTAGAAAGTGCTATTGAATGTAAGCAGTTTCCAAGAGACACTATTTGTGCACTTAGTAAGGTCAGTACACTGGGCCAGGGCGGGGACAGGAATACGTGAGAACACAAGTGTAGTGGGAACATACTGTTAATTTACAACCACAGGAAAAAAACAAATATGCAGGGTCATAAGCCTTGATTTAGAAAATAGTCCCATTATATATAGTGGTAACCCCAAACCTCGGTATTTAGTTTAGGGTAGAATCTGGGAAGAGAAATTGAACGGGAGATTCAGCCCGGAGGAATCACATGATAAAGACTGACTAAATATTGTAAATTTTTCTCAGAGCAAACTTTTATAATGCATGTTTCTCAAATATTAATTGATGGTCTAGTGTCTAAAAGAAATAAGCCCAGGAAGGCTATGCCATTGTATTTTTAGAAGTACTTAAGTGACCTCTAGCCACTCTAACAACTCCTTGAGAGTTATGGCAATATCCAGGATGTTTTGTGTCTTTGTCAGGCATATGATATATTACTGTCTGCCTGGCCCAGTGTCTTTTAAGGAATTCTGTGGATCAAGTGTCAGGCCATGGCAGGAGACTTGTTCTAAAACAATCATCAGCCTGGTTGAAACAACATAAAAAAAAGTTTCTAAGTTTACTATGAGTGTTGTTCATTGCACCTCACTGCAAAGCTATTTTCCTTTGCATCTTGCAGTTGTTTTCATGGTGGCAACTCCTGCAAAGCATATATGACACCCGACAAAGGATGTCATGGCAGGTTGAGTGTTCTATCTGTAAGCCTTTCTAATTTAGCAGTAAAATTTTAAAGCAAAGCCCAGAAAATCCTTGTTGATGTTTGACTCTATGCCCATTAAAGTCTTTTATGCCCCCAAAGAATTGAGATCTTCAGATAAAATGTGAAGTGCAGCACAAACGA
Organism: Homo sapiens; assembly: GCF_000001405.40. NCBI lineage: Eukaryota > Metazoa > Chordata > Mammalia > Primates > Hominidae > Homo > Homo sapiens. The sequence goes on from NC_000012.12 coordinate 46,462,498, forward strand.
AAACACGTTTGTCAAGTATTAAAACATGCTGGGACTTGGAGGCGTTGCAAGACCTTTTACAAACTGCATATAGTTTTATAAATTTAACAAATGACATGAAATTTTATCTTTATAAGTGAAACTCCCAATTCTTGTTTTTCTTTCTCAACTGGAGGCAACTAGAAAAAGAAAGACTATTTTTGCTTTAGGATTGGATTTATTTTAGGGCTATTTGTTGATTTTTGGATGTATTACAAGCCCTGGTGGGAGAGGGAAGTTCTGGAGCCAGAAGGACCAAGTTTTTTATTCTGCCTTTGGCATCAATCAGGCACATACACTGGGGCAAGTCTCTTAACTTTCTGATGGTCAGTTCCTCATCTGAAAAAGGAGTAACATACCTACCTCACATGGTAGTGTCCAGCACATACTGGGCAACATTAATTTTAAAATCTGAATTTAGGTTGCTTTTTAAACATACATATCGGTGGAAAGAAAACTGGGCTTAAGCCAGAAAACCAGTCTTTGTCCTGCTGCTTCTTAGTTTTCAACAAATTAACTCAGAAACAGAAATTTAGAACTGAAGGGATTTGGAGGGAGCCCAGCCCTCTTGACTTTCAAATAACAAAACTGAGGACCAGAAAAATGATAAGCCTTGCTTAAGGCCATGCAAGCTAGTGACAGGGCATTGAACATAAACCAGCAGTCAGGGTGCCAGGTCCCAGCCTTCTTCAGTCCTACGGCCCTGTCTTTTGGTAAAAAGCTACACAGATTTGTTATGATTTAATCACGTTTGTTTCCAGTGTCAACCTAATTTGATATTCTTAGTGCCAAAAAGACTTCTTCAGACTAAAAGAACAAAATGACAACCATGACTATTTGACCAGAAGAGAATTATAGAGCAGAGGATCTTAGAGTTCTGACATAGCTCAGAAAGTTAAAGATCAGGACGGTGACTATCGGCCTGGACTGATGCATGGACATGCAGTGTCAGAACTCCTCAAAGATTCTCAATCTTTCCCCCCCATATCACAGCTGACTTATTCTGATGGGAAAATAGAAAGGTACCTCTTTGAGGGAAAAGCACATGTATTACATATTGTTTGAAACCTCCACAGGGGCTTGTACAGTGCTTAGCACCCCATTGATTTCTTTAAATGCCTTCTAAATAGTATGGACAATGAAAAACTACTACTAGAATTTTCAGTATAGGGTATTGATGGGATTTACAAACTGAATGCACCTGTGCAATCAGCACCCTGATGTATACATACAGAACATTATCAGCATTCCAGAAGCCTCCTCCATGCCCCCAGCAGGGGTACCTCAATCCTTGCTTCTAACAGCATAGATGAGCTTTCTCCTGTTTGTCTACATTTTGTACAAATGGAATGATACAACAGGTACTCGTTGCTTTTGGATTCTTTTGGGAAATATTCAGATGTTGCTTTGGATCCACAGGAAGTAGGATTCCAAATTGGGGGCCCTCAGTGGAGGACAAAAGCATTTTGCATATTGCAGTTTCATTTTAATGATGGAAAGTGGTATCAATATAGCAGTTGATTAGTAAGAGTGTGTAGGTGTAATTAGGTTAAAACTTGTTCTTATTGCCAAGATCAAGATTTTTGTACCTTAAATGATTCACTACATTTTACAGCAAAGTATAATTTTAGTTAGGCAAATTGATGTAAATAATACAAAATTGAGGAGAGTGAAAAATAAAACCCTTTCCCTTGTGTGCTTTCCTTTGAAATTGTTTTTAAGCAAATTTTTATTTTTTATGGAATGTTCAGAAAAGAATGATAAATTTTCTAAATAAATAATCCAAATAAAAAGAAACTCTGAATGATGAACCCAGATCATTCTGTCTTCATTATCTTTATATTCCTATTATACAACTAAATGTCTGACACATAGTATGCATTCAATAAATGATGACTGCTAGAATAAGTGAATGATTACGTTAAAACATGATGACAAACAAAGACATCACAACTTTTTCTAGAGAATATGTACCAGCAGAGTAAACAGCAATACTGGGAGACTTAACACTCTGTACATAAATGAAGACCATTTGGAAGCAGTTTTGCTTTTCAGATTTGGAGTCATGCAGTTGTAATCCTCCAATTCTCATGGTGGAAGAGGTTGCTAATTATGTCTCAGTGTCCCTTTTCTTCTTCTTTTAGTAATAGAATTCCTGACTATTAGCAAGGCACATGGCTACTTGACTAGATATAATATTTCACAGCATCCTTTGGAGCAACAAGACTAAGTCCTTGTCAATGGAAAGTGACAAGAAGTAATGTAGGCATTTTCTGGATTTTACTTTTAAAAAACAATTTCTGCTGGCTGGGAAATGATAACAATAGAACAGCTGAAGAGAGTCCATAAATGAGTCCCATATCTGTAGTAGAGTCTCTGCTCACCTCTGGATTGTTAGGTAAGAGAGAAACAAATTTCTATGTTATGAAGACATGATACTTTGGGGTGGGGGTGGGGGTCTTTTTTTTAAAGAAGACCTTAGCGTATACCCTAATTAATATAGAAATTTGAACCAGAAGTGGGGCGTTGCCATAACAAAAAGCTAAATTTTGTGTCATTGAATAGCAACAGGCAGAGGGTGACATGGGCATGAAATTTGATCTAGAAACATTGGTAATACTTGTTATTCTGTGATACGTAATTTGCTAAAACAGTTGCCTATCATAACTTGGAAGACATGCCATACACCTGCTGACCTTTAGCTCAGTGAGAAAAACTTTGCATATAGATATATATTGGCTAGTCCTCACTACTTTTAACAATGTATTATAAGAAGCAATGGAAGTTATGGAATTATTAGCCAGCAAGCAAAGATAGAAGAGAATATAGCTCTGATAAGGGAGGTTCTTATTACCTATGGCTTGTAATCTAATGTGCTTGAAAGATTCAGTCATGCAGAGTTGGAAAATCTGTTTGTATTGCAAACAGCAGTAGATAAGTTTGATGATGGTGGCCTTTTCCATGTGCCTTCTGTTAAGTATTCAACTGCCAACTATTCAGTGCCTTCAGTTAGCTGGACAATTGAAGCCAGTCCAGAGCAAAGATTACACTGAAGATGCTGCCTTCCTGTTTCACATGGTTGCCACTAAAGTTAGCCAACATTAAATGAAAGGAAAGAGAGACAGGCTGAGCACAGAGACCAGTAGATAAAAGAGAAGACTTGGCTTAAAAACTGTGACCAGGGACAAACTTTGGCTATTCTGACTTTCACATAGAAGCCAATAGATTAGAATCCTACTCAAAGATAGGGGTGACTGTGGTGTTTATTTGCAAAAAGAAGTGTGTACATAGATATTGGGAGGAGGGGTAGACATGGCAGAAGTGGATAATTTACCCTAGTAACCATTCTTGCTTTCTTTATCTAACAAAATGCACCCCCCACCCACCTAGTTTTAGCAGGATGCATGGTTACCTACCTAGTGACTATATTCTCTTAGCCTTCTTTGTGACTAGGGATTGCTCTGTGACTCAGTTATAGCCAGTAGTACATGAATGGGAGTTTTTTTTAAGTATTGGAACATCATTGGGTATTTATTCCACTTCCCTTTCTGCAACTGGCTGAGAAATAGCAAACAATTGGAGTTGCCTTGGGCCAAAGAGAGATGTTGCATATTGATGACAATACAGCCACTCCACGTCTGTGATACCACCCACTTCTGTATTGTTACATAAAGAAGCATAAATTTCTGTCTTATTTAAGCCACTCTATTTTTTGAGTGTCTTTGTTTCAGCAGCTTAACTGTAGTCTAATGAGCATATAGGCTTCTGCACACTCTCAGGTTCAATATAAGAAAAGATAAACAACTTTAAGTATTTGAAACGGAAAGATATTTTACAAAACTGGCCGACCAGGGGAGCTACCAACTCTGAGACCAGCAATGGAGCTATGCCAGGGTCAAGAACCTAATGCTGCTACTATTGTTGCCATGGCTTCTGAACACTGGGTCCTGGGACGTGGTGCTAGGAGCCTTACCCTGTTTGTCAGCAGAAATAGCCAAGAAGGGATAGGAAGGTGGTGTCTGCCTTCTATATCTTCATGCCACACTTGTGTGTATCCACCTTTTGGGACCCAAATTCCTTCCAGGACTCTAGCTGCAGGGAGATCTTGAAAATGTTGTTTTTGTCTTTGCAACCTCACCAGTGAGAATGAATGGAAATTGAGTGAACAAATCCATAGTTCCAGCACTCATCTCATCGTTAAATGGAGGTGGTATGTTACCCACTTCAAAGGGCTACTGGAAGAATTAGATGAGATTTAATAAATGGGAAGTACATATATATGTTTGGTACATATTAAAAATTAAAAAAATACAGATACTATATTATAATATCATTTAGTTACTTAAAATATCATGCCTGTTTGCCACATTCTTGTCTCTTTCACAAAAATGATTGGCTGGCTAGGGACTGTTAAGTTTGATAAGAATCGCTTTTTCTGTATAATAATATAAAAGTAGCAACATCTCTATTATTACAAAAACTACCACTTGAAGGTAAATTTTTTTTTTTTTGTGAATGCTAAATAAAGGAAGTGAGAGCCCTCCATGGTTTAACAATAGAGGAGTAAGACTAGAGAAAGCAGCAGGGGTGCAATCATTTTTACCATCTTCAAGAATCAGCATTCTGTTTTGGAACAATGGAAATCTATGGAAGGATATTAAGTTGGGGAGAGGCATTATCAGATTTGCCTTTCAGGAAGCTGTCTCTGGTGAAATGGAGAATACATTAGAGGAGGGATGGTTAGTGGGCAGTTGCAGTAATTTAGGCAAGCAATGGTGGTAGCTTAGACCACAGGAGCAGTGGCTCTGGGAGGGGAGACAAGCAGTTTGGGAGGTGTTCTCAGCAGAACTTGGTGATTGCTACCTCTGAATCCCGTCAAGGAAACTTTGGAGTAATAGAAAAATTTATGTTTCTCAATTAATATGTGCACAATGTCTGTAGGTGCCTTTGGATACTTATTACCTGGTATGAATGAAAAGCCTGATTCTGATTCATACAATTAAATGAGAATAAAGGAAGATGATGTCGTCATCTTTTGTTGGTTTACAACTATGAAGGAAGGAAATATTTTATAAAGTTTTCTATGAACTGGGACCAAAGTTATTTAATGTCTGAGTGTGAAAGGCTTTGAAAGCATAATTATGCTGCACTGTTAAGTGTTAGTGACCAAAGTGTTGATAAATTGCTTCATGTTAAATGACCAGACATTTTAATGATTTAGACATTTTACTCAGGCTACCCTCACAAGATACCTTGCACAGGGAGGCCCCATGTTAAAGTATAGAGAACGATCTGGCTGCATATACTGCAGATAATCTTCCTAGAGCCTCATTTCACCAATCTGTTTGGATCTTCAGTCAAGGGTAACAGCATTATGATAGTATTCTTATGGTTCCTTTTTTTTTTTGGAGATGGAGTCTCGCTCTGTCACCAGGCTGGAGTGCAGTGGTGTGATCTCGGCTCACTGCAACCTCCGCCTCCCGGGTTCAATCAATTTTCCTGCCTCGGCCTCCTGAGTAGCTGGGACTACAGGCGTGCGCCACTATGCTCAGCTAATTTTTGTATTTTTAGTAGAGACAGGGTTTCATCATGTTGGCCAGGATGGTCTTGATCTCTTGACCTCGTGATCCACCCGCCTTGGCCTCCCAAAGTGCTAGGATTACAGGTGTGAGCCACTGTGCCCGGCCTCTTACGGTTTCTTTTAAGTGGAGTGGATTATAAAGTGTGGCATACCCTGTTTTAAAATGGGTGATGTCTAAAGTAATTATAGGACATTGCAAAACTACAGGGATAGATATCAACTCAAGTGAAAAGAAGCTGTTCAGTTCCGTAGCAAAGAGTTCCTGTCATCTCTATCCCCACGTCACTGGTGGCGAATGTTGGCATTGCTGGTATCATTACAGGTAAAAGGTCAGTCACATTCCAACTTCCTTAGTCTTTAGTATTTCCTGTGCAGACTAAAAATATACTGGGAGAAAGTTGGCTGAGTTCAAAGGGTAGGAGAAATCTATTTCGTCCTGAGGAGCAGTGGCTGCACTTTTTTCAGTGTTTAATAGTGGAACATTAAAATAAATGAAATTATTTAAACAACTCCAGACTGTTTAATTCAATTAAAAAGCATTCATTGGATTTTTGCTTATGAAGATGTTCCTGATTCTTTTCTGCCTGCTCTGATAATCTAAGAGTTGATTTCCATCCTCCCAATCCTTCTTGAATCTAGCAAAAAAAGTACAATTAAGAATAAATCTGGGTCTTTGAAAGAGTATCTTTTTAGCTGTTACAATTTTTAGAAGGTTAATTGTTAAATATGTCATTTGTCTGTAAGTGTGGCTAGTAATTTTACCAATTTTATTTATTTACTATATATTTATTGAATGCCTACTACGTATAGGACTCTCTTGAGCAGTCAAAGTTTTTCAAGGACGTACTCTGCTGAGGACAAATTTTTCTAAATTCTCACAGTCCCTATTTTACATATAGGGAAACCGACTGTTCTCTAGTCAGGAAAAAATGAGTTACCCTTGGTGACAGAGGGATCACCTGATCAGAGATCCACGGATGAGCCAGATGAGTTGTTTCTCAATCTACCCCTCTTCATTAATTTTCATGTCATGTGTGATTACATGACTTAGAATAATGTAAAATAGCCACAACACATAAAATATTATTTTAAATAGGTATTCTTAAATAATTTTAAATAGGTATTCTTAAATAATTTGACAATAATCTTATGCTTTGCCAAGTCTTTAAAAAAATACAAGTTTAGATTAGATTCTTTAAAATAATATGCAAAGAAATAAGAGATATAATTTAAAAAGGCAAGCTTATTTCTAAAGATTTTCAACTTTTTGTGTGTTGTTATTAACAATGAATAGTTTATTAAAGTTTTTAAGGAATCTATTTCCAGCTTAAAATCATAGAAAAAACAAGTAGGAGAATTCAGGAGTGTGATTCAGAGTTGCTTAAAGAGCATGCTAAAAGTCAACTTTTTTATTCCTTAGACTTGATATTCACAACACATTTCCTTAAATGTCAGCATTTTAGTTCAATTTATTTTTTCCATTCATAGTTTATTTTTCTTTTCAATTGCAAAGTAATACATGTCCAGTCTCATGATATAAAAATGGATAATATAAAGTATGTAGAATAGAAAACACCATAATAGCAACCCCCCGTCTCCCCCATCTTTCTACCAATTCCACCTGGGAACTCTTTATTGTTTATAGTTTGGGGAGTACCTTTCCAAGGCTTTTGTCTGAATTTGCAAGTAATTCTATTTCTAAAATGCGACTGCATTTTGTGAAGAGAATACTGCATACCCTCATCCCACTTTCATGAGAAAGACCCTGCAGGTGAAATAAAGAGTGGAAGGTAAGAGCAAATTCATATTGGATTAAATAAAATCTCCTCAGGTCACTTTTGTTTCTGGGATTAGCTTTAGAGTATTCTCATTGTCTGCATTGTCTGCTATGGGCTGAATTGTGTCTCTCCAAAATTCATATGTTGAACCCCTAACCCACAATGAAACTGAATTTGGAGATAGAGCCTATAAAGTAATGATTAAGGTTAAATGAGGTTATAAAGGTGGGGTCCTGACATGAGTGCTTGAGCTCTCTCACGCTTTCTCTTACACAAAGGTCATGTGAGCACACAGCATAAAGGCAGCTGCCCACAAGCCAGGAAGAGAAGCATCATCAGAAACCGACCATACTGGCTTCCTGATCTCAGACTTTCAGCCTCCAGAATGGTGAGAAATAAATTTCTGTTGGTTAAGTCACCCAGTCTGTATTTTGTTATGGCAGCCCAAGGTGACAAATATTGTTTCTCCTTGATGGCTGTGCATTTGGAGGGAGCCTCTGTGAGCCCTGACTTTCCTCTAGGAGCAGGTTGGGTAGGAAAGTAACATCGACCAGCTGAGTGTAGTTCATACAGATGTGGACCAGACAGGGCGTGAAAGGTGGAAGGAGAGGACTGGTCCCAAAGGCCAAACACCAAGACTGAAAGGCAAGCTTAGGAGAAATCGACACTGTTAGGAGGAATTGACAAAGTAAATCTTATGACAAATTTCAAAATTAAAAAATTTAAAAACCCTAATAGAAATAAAACGTCTCATTTGGATAATGTTTTAAATCTTCTAAGTGCTTTTCTATCTGTCTTCTCATTGGATCCTCAGATTAACGTTTGAAGTTAGAGTTTATAATTATTATTTATCTAAGCTTGTCAGATGAAGAAACTAAGAGCCTAATAATTTAATTAAATGACTTGCGTAAGTTTTAACAGCTAATTTGCAACAGAGTAAATCTTATGAAAATTTCAAAATTAAAATATTGTCATAATAATGCAGAAAGTCTATTTTGGGAAGGCTGGCCAAAATTATAATGGAAATTTTTTTTATTTAAAGGGGCCCTTATTAATTTGCAAGGCTTTGCTATGGTTACCCACATGCTAAAAACTCCCACATGTCCATCCCCCTCTGACTTCGGTGAGCTCCAGGCTCATATACCCAGTGCTTATTTGAAGCTCCTCTTGTATTCCTCATAGGCATCATAAATGGAATGCAGAGTTAGCCAGGACTGAAGAACCCTCAAAAAAGGCTGTGGAAGAGTCCCCTTGCTATTGCACTTCCCCTGATTCTTCTGACCCCAACCCTGGGCATGGTCACCATGGCTCATAGACATGAGTCACTGAGTGTATAGGTGTGGATCTGAGGGATTTTGGATTGGTTTCCAAGCTTGTTTATAGATTTGACTTCATAATGGTGATTTGTGTTTATTTCAGTGCTTGAGTCAGGAGGTTTGCCTGACATCCTGAAGACCAAGGTCTTCTCTGTGGAGAACTATCTAGCACATGTGACAGCTCTGAGAGTGTTTTTAAGAACAGGTTGATGTGTATGCTCTGTATTAATTTTTTTTTATAGATTTGAGGGTGTGTAGTCATCCATGCTCTTTTTGATCTTTGGATCTTTTGCTGCATTCTTAGTTAAGTTTGTAATCTACATTAATGGCAACAGAAGGGTAAACTGACTAAGAGGGTTATTACACACTGGTTTGTATTGCCAAGGGAGGCAGCACAATCCATTTTCCTGACGGTTTTGGCACGATCCTTCCTGGCACCTCAGAGATGGGCAATGTGATGTTATATACACTCTTGTGCTTGGTTATTAATCTGGGTGTTTTGGATGAACATAAAGTAAAACATGCAGGGAACCATTAATGTATTGTATGGGGAGGTGAGGTGGTAAATCATATCTCAGCTTCTCATCCATAGTGATTCATTGGGAACATTTTTCCCCATGCTTGGTTCCATGAGCAAATGAATGAAATTTCAGTCTCATGAAGATTTCCACCCATGAGCAAAATTTTATTAATTTTTTGCCTGTTCCAAATTACAAATTAGCTTTATTATTCTTGTTACTATTCAAATAGAACACCATACAATACATTCAGTTTCTCTACTTGATCCAATTTCTTTGAAAATTTAACAAATATAATCAAATAGACTAAGCATAACAATTTTTATCAAATTCCACATGGTATTTATTTGGATTGGTGTGTGTTATTTGGTAGGTCTCTATTTACCTATTTTGGAGGAAACCATTATTTCTTCCTTTTATTTTTATATATGCAATGTCCAATTTCAGAGTCTCATTTGCCTGTGAATTGAGAGAGTTCAGTGGACTCATGGAAGACTTGGGTTCTGGCTTTCGACTGCTTTTTTGCTTCCATGCATCTCTGATATTCTTACTCCTAGTAAAGATATCCTAGTAAAGATAACCTCCCACTAAGAGTCAGCAAACAATCAGCAGAAAAGATTGAGTTTCTCCCTTTCCAAAGCCAGTTAGTCAGTCAACAAACAATTCCTAAGTGCCCACCAAGCATTGAGCTCACCCTGGAGACACTGAGGCAGACAATCGTGATTGTGCAGAATCAGTTGGAACGAGGTTATCTGGATGGTGGTAAGGGAGACAGAATGAGAGGAAACAGAGGATTTGCACATAATTGATATTTTCAGTTAGATGAAAAAAATACATTTGAAGTTTGGGATTCAGCATCCCAAATCTAGAATAAGGGACCAGGAAGGCCCCTGCGTGCTTTATGAAGATCACTGATAGATTGTTACCGTGGGGCCCATGGGAGTATCAGCAGGAGGGCAAGCCACACAAAAATAGAAAAGAGAAAAAATGTCCCCAAAGTATGTATATAATTGCAGTTTTACACTTAAAAAATTTTTTCTATATATGCAAAGAAGGTATGTTTTAAAAAAGATTGATGATTGTTAGAGCCAGAAGTGACTTTAGGAATGCTTGGATTTAGGAATTTTCTAACTTTGGTGTACATCAGAATATCTTGGGAGTTTGTAAAAATAAATACCAATGCACAGATCCTAACCTGATGGCCAAGATCTGCTTTCCTAGGTAACTCTAAAATATACTGAGGTTTGAAAACCACTTATTAGTCCAGTTTTTATTTTACAGAGAAGAAAACTGGCATCCAGAGGGGTTAATATACTCACCCACGGTCATATCAATTCCCTTCCTAGTTTAATCTCTATTGGCTGTGTGCCCAGACAAGAAAAAAATGCATCCACTTTGGGAATTGTCCAGAGATAATTTTTTTTCCTGTCTTATGATAGAAAAGAAAGGAAATGTACAAGCAATTTGGGAAAAAATTACTACATATGTATTTGTGAGTATAGTTGCTAGACATATAGATATATATTGCAATCAGGTAGCATAGATTCAAGTTGCCCTGAATATACACTCCCCTTAGATATCTTTTATGGCTATAAAATTTTATGATAGATGAAACTATTAATAGATATTTTCTATTTTCTCATTTTTGCCTACAATTAAGAAAAAGATATTTATTTTTCGAACTATCCACGCCAGGGATTATACGGTGTTAGGCATAGTTAACTGAATTTCATCATCACCCCTAATATAGGTAAGTATGCCAGGCTTATTGTTTTAGATGAGGAAACAAAGAGAAGTGTCATACTTATCACATTAAAATATTAATAAATTTATTAGAATTATAATGGAAATGGAAAGTTCCTGACACTCTTGTTAGTGCTGGGCCTACAACCTCAGTTTTCATAAAAGATCTAGAGTTCAAGGTACCAAATTTTATCAAAATAAGTTTGGGTTTAAGTTCACCAACTCGCCTGTGGCCTACTCGTCCTTTCTGGCAATGATTAACACTAGTGTTTAATGCACGTTTTAAAGTGTGTTCTTTAAACTCTTTTACCAAACAGAACTTCCTTTTTATGTAATGAGTCAGCTCTCCGGGTATTTGTAGCCCGGGGAATTGCCTCTCCAGTGGTGGAGATACGGAGCCCAGCTGCCAGGGTAAACAGCCACTTCCTAATATAATTGCTCAGAAATGCTGGAGGAGAAAATGTAAGAAAAGAAATTGCTCTGTCTTGTAAACAGTCAACTGTGTTTTACAATAGCGTACCAGCACTCCAAATCATTCATCAACTTGAGTAACATGGCTGGATTTCACTGTTAGGTTTACTTGGTAGTCACATTAATCCTTCTCTTCTACATAATGTGCCAGATTTCTTTGATGACAAACAGTACACCAAGGGTCTAAATATGGTTTTAGGAGCAAGCTTTTAACCAGACTCAAACTTATCTCAGAGGCCATTTTCGCTTTCTCTCTTCTTGAGTGGGGCCAGAGCTCAAGTTTGACTCAGGACCATTTAGGGACTTTTTTCTTTATTTTAATTTTTCTAATGATATCATTACAAATTATTTTTTAAAATAGCAGTTAATTAAGATGGGAACTAAGCCAGAATCACATAATCATGGCCTGCAAAGAAGCTCCTAGGTTCATACATCAGTGATTTGAATTGTTCTGTTCCTCTCCGCAGGAGCAATGGTGCTGTTACCACTGTATGTGTGCTTTCTGTGCACACAAGAATGTTAAGCGTTCATCCAGAATTCATATTTATTTATTTATTTTTTCTTTTTTGAGACGGAGTCTGGCTCTGTCGCCCAGGCTGGAGTGCCATGGCTTGATCTTGGCTCACTGCAACCTCCACCTCCTGGGTTCCAGCGATCCTCTTGCCTCAAACTCCCGAGTAGCTGGGACTATAGGCATGAGGCACCATGCCTAGCTAAGTTTTGTATTTTTAGTAGAGACAAGGCTTCACCATGTTGGCCAGGCTTGTCTTGAACTCCTGACCTCAGGGGATCTGCCCGACTCGGCCTTCCAAAGTGCTGAGATTACAGACGTGAGCCACTGTGCCCAGCCCAGAATTCATATTTAGAGAAAAACTTTCGGAGGTGATTTCAACTGATCATTGATCAGTCTTCCCACAGTTGTATACTGTTAAGTGAGCTTTATGTGTATGTGAGTTGGCGGTATCTTCATTTAATTTGCTGGATATTGATATTTTTAACTTGTTAGCAGCTGTTAAAAAATTCAAAATGTGCACATACAATATGTTGAATACAAATATCCTTCTTTCTTTTATTTTCCAGCCATCTTATTCCTTTCCCAATCACTGTTACTCGTTTCTTATATATACTTATAGGGGTATGTTGCATATTTACAATCATATGCATATATAAGGATATGTGTATATATTTTTTAATACAGGTGATCGCATACTCTATACACTGTTCTGAACCATACTATTTTCCCCTTAACCATGTCTTGGAGATCTTCCCATCTCAATATTTAATAATATTGTCTTAATCTTCCACCATGGGACATTTAGTTATGTTTAATCTTTTGCTATTACAAAGATGCATTTTCATCTGTGGGAATATATTTATGGGATAAATACCCAGAAGTCAATTTCTGGTTCCAACAATATGTGTACTTTAAATTTTAGTGATTATTGTCAAATTGCAAAAGGTTACAATAATTCATATTCCCACCAGCAAAGCAAGAATGTGCCTGTTTCTATAAATACTTGCCAACACAATTTGTTAAATATTTTGATCTGCTTAAATTTACATCTTTTTTATTATGAATAGTATAGTGCCTATTTATAATCTAAGTCATTTGTTTTTTCCTTTTCTGTGGGTATTCCAATCCTTTGCCTTTAATTTTTTTTATTGATTTATAGTAGCTCTTTATTCAGGGAATAAATTAGTCCTTAGTTTGTCATGTAAAGTACAATTTCTTTTGATCTTACCTATGATGTTTTGAGGTATACAGAAACTTTTATTTTTTATGTAGTCAAATGCATTTAATATTTGATATTATAGCTTCTGAATTTTATGGAAAAATTTAGAAAGGCCTTTTCCACTTTTTTGAGGTTATGAAAAAATTCTTCAATCTTTTCCCCTCCTGGTACTCTTATAGCTTTATTTTTCCATTTTAAATCTTGGTGTTACAGGAAAGGGGTCCCGATCCAGACCCCAAGAGAGGGTTCTTGGATCTCACACAAGAAAAAATTCAGGACGATTCCACAGTGCAAAGCAAAAGCAAGTTTATTAAGAAATTAAAGGAATAAAAGAATGGCTACTCCATAGACAGAGCAGCCCTGAGGGTGCTGGTTGTCCATTTTTTTGGTTATTTCTTGATGATATGCTAAACAAGGGGTGGATTATTCATGCCTCCCTTTTTAGACCATATAGGGTAACTTTCTGACATTGGCATGGCATTTGTGAACTGTCATGGCACTCGTGGGAGTGTAAGCAGTGAGGATGACCAGAGGTCACTCTCGTGGCCATCTTGGTTTTGGTGAGTTTTGGCCAGCTTCTTTATTGCAACCTGTTTTATCAGCAAGATCTTTATGATCTGTATCTTATGCTGACCTCTTAGCTCATTCTGTGACTTAGAAAGCCTTAATTTGATGCAGCCCAATAGGTTTCAGTCTTATTTTACCCAGCTCCTATTCAAGATGGAGTTGCTCTGGCTCACATGTCTCTGACATTGGTGTAGCTGGAATTTTGGGGGTATGTAGAGTGAGGTAGGGATCCAGCATTTCCCACCAGATGGTTGTGAGGACCTTCAGCATGTCTACTGAGCTCTATATTTAGGTCAGCCCTGGGCTAGGCAGGGTGTGGCTGGAGAGCAGGTGTAACCCTGCCTTGTAGAGCTACACTGGATTCTGGAGGGCACATTCCATTGCCCGTGTGTCTGCAATAAAGGCACTGGGGGGCTCTGCAGAGATGTTAGGGGACTTATGGGAAGAGGAGAATATTGACTTATTGGAACAGAGTGGGGGTGAGTGGCTATGAGCATGGTGGTATAAATGGAGCAGTCAAGCATTTCAGATAAAGAAAAATAAGAACCTGCTTTTGCCATTGGGAATGAAATTAATGTCAATATTTTGTATCCCTGTTACCTCACTACACAGTGATAGAGGGCATTTAAAAATTTGATTTAGGACAACTCTGAACAGGTTTTTGAGGGTTTATGTTTATCTAACTTCAAATAAATCTAGTAATACTAACATCATCTTATGCACCTATAAATACAAGATTGGGAACTTCCAACAAATGCATAAGGCTCAAATGAGGGTGGTGCCAAAAGGCTACAACTTTGCTTTAGATTTTATACATTTGAAGGTCCAATAAGTCCCATAAAATGGCTATGTTTTTGTATTTTTCTTTTAGTCTGTGCTGGATGTTTGTTTCTTTCAGCTTTAAGTGTTCACAGGAGGGATGAAGTAAGATTCTTATTACTGAAGTCCTGATGTGTTAAACAGCCCAATTAGAGTAAGAGATTCTCCAGTCATTTCCAGGACATTTGCTGACTGGTGTCACTAGAAGTTCATGGGCTCCACCTTCAACTGGATCCTCTGTGCTGCCCCATAATCCGGCTTTCCTGGTCCGCTCCCTCCTCTGTTCTCACCTGACTGGAGTACGTATCTATCAACATTTTGCTTTTCCATTCCTGCGGTGCCCTGTGATGGAGAGAAGTTTTGGCTTTCTGATTTTTGGAAAACTAGGAACAGGCTTCTGAGGGTTTATGCTCATCCAAATGTAAATACAACCTTGTTTATTTTTTTTTTAATGGAGGCAATTCCACACATTCCCTACCCTCTCTTCATTCACAGCACAAGCTCTCCTTCTGTGTCTTAGAGAAAAAAGAGGCCATCAGAGAGGAGCTCTGGCAACATCTTGCTATAGAGCCTTGTAGTTTGTCTCTGCATTTACCTTTTCTCCCTTTCCCCCTCATTAAACAAGAGAGCATTCCTTCCTTTATCCAAGGCCAATCACCCCACCTCTTACCTGGATTTTGTCACCTCTCATCTTCTCAAGAACCCTGCTCCTTTAACTATCCTCTCTCAGTATATCAACTTTTACATCAGTATATAGTCACCCTCAGAATGTCCTATCTTACAAGTAAATAAATAAGCAGAAACATTGCCTTGACTGTGTCTTCTTCCCTCTGATTCATAGCCAAACTTCCTGAGAGTTGTCTATATTTACCTCTCCTTTACTCTCAGTCCTCAGTGTTCTATAAGTTCACTGAAATGATTCTTGCCAACATCTTTAACAAATTTTCAGTCTTTATTCTTCTTGAAGTTTGGGCCTTTTCACAACTGGGACCTCTCCCTCCTTCTTGATGTGCTCCTTTTCCTTCCCAAGACTCCTCTCTGGCAGCTCCTCTGGTGTCTCTGAGACTCTTCCTCCTGTGCCCATCTTCCAACACCAGGCTTCTTCGGGTTCCCTCCGAGCTTCTCATTTCTCCTGACATTATGTGAGCCAGCCTATGTCCAGTGCTTCAAGAACAACCCATCTGTGGTTAAGATCCTTGAATTTAGAGCCAGCCACATTTGGATTTTACTCTCAATTCCTACTCTTACATGTTTTGTTATCTGGACAAGTCACTTAACCCTTATAGTCTTAGTTTTCTCATCTTTAAAATGGGCACAACAATTCCTACTTCACAAGGCTGTAGTTGGGGGTAGATTTTATTAAATCAAATAAATTTTATAAAATCACTTCATTTATCCATTCAACAAACACATTGGAGTCTATATTATATTACAGGTACAGGTACTTTTTTTTTTTTACTGTGACATACAATAAATAATACAATTTATAATGCCACCTAGGACACACATACACAAGCAAATTTTCATTAAGAAATTCCTGGCTAGGTGTGATGGCTCATGCCTGTAAACCCAGCACTTTGGGAGGCTGAGGTGGATGGATCACCTGAGGTCAGGAGTTCGAGACTAGCCTGGCCAACTTGGCAAAACCCCATCTCTACTAAAAATACAAAAATTAGCAAGGTATGGTGGTGGGTACCTGTAATCCCAGCTACTCGGGTGGCTGAGGCAGGAGAATCACTTGAATCCGGAAGCTGGAGGTTGCAGTGATCAGAGATCATGCCACTGCACTCTTCAGCCTGGGTGACAGAGTGAGACTCTGTCTAAAAAAAAAAAAAGTGCTGAGCAAAGAGGGAAAAGCCCCTTATAAAACCATCAGATCTTGTGCAAACTCACTCACTATCATGAGAACAGCAGCATGGGGGTAACTGCCCCCATGATTCAATTACCTCCCACCAAGTCCCTCCCATGACACATGGGGATTAGGGGAATTATAATTCAAGATGGGGTTTGGGTGAGGACACAGCTGAACCATATCATTGGGCCTGATTAATCACCTTATTGCTGAATATTCCACCTGAGAGCTCTGTGGGCATTTCAAACTCAGCTTATCCTGTATTGAACATTCAAAGGTTGTTCCTCTTCTGTGCTTCCTATTTCAGTGAGTGGCACTACCATTTAACCTGATGTTCATTTTCCACTCCTTTCTCTCCCTCATTCTACCTTCCTATCAATTGCAAAGTCCTGTCATTGTCATTGTCCCTTCTAGATATCTGTAGAATATGTCCACTGGTCTACATCCTTGTAGGATATCTGTTTAATTCATAGACTCATAGTGGTTTCTTTGCTTAGTCTATTTTTTTTTACGCTGCAGCCAGAGTTATTCTAAAACATAAATACATCCAAACCACTCTTTGGCTTGAATCTAACCATGTTTCAGGTAGTTCTCAGATTAAAGTAAAAACTTTTTTAACAAGAACTTGCAAAACCCCTTTTTACCAGACTTTGTGCCATACGCAAACCTATTTTCTGCAACTTGAGAATGCCTTGCTCTCTATTCTTCAGTTATCTGCAAATAGTATTTCTTCTGCATAGGATTTTCTTTACTCCATCCTCCCAACCTTTTGGATGACTTCCTTGATCCGTAGCTTAAGCATCACTTCTTCCAAGAAGCCTTCCTGACTCCCTGGGCCATGTTTGATTTTCCATCCGGTTGCTCTCAGTGCACTCTGAACTCTTCCCATGGTAACATTTATTATGCCATACCATAATTACCTATTTACAAATATGCACAAAGATAGGAATCAGTTTACCATGTTCATTTGTGCATCCCCAACTTCTAACACAAATCCTGTCATCAAGCAGATGCCCAATTAATATTTGCTGGATGAATTAAAGAGAAATAACTTGGATTCAGGTATTAATGATAATTGATTATTATTAGCTATTGGTTCATATGAATAGTTGGTGTTCGTTGAGCATGCTTAACATTTTATTCTATCTCTTTCATCCTTAAAACAACCAATTAAAGACCGGCAGTATTATCCTCACATTACAAATTAAAATCTGAAGCCCCTGAAAGTTTAGAATAACTTGCCCAAAGTTATGTAACTGCTAAACAACAAAATCAAAATAACCTGGGGCTACCTAAGTGAAACACTCATTCTTTTAATTTCTATACCAGGTATGATGAACTTTCTGGATCTCTTTGTTCTCATAGAGCCTTCACAGAAGGTGGGTAACCAGAGAGGGATGTTGCTTAAGTCAGAGTCATCCTGAGCTGAGCCGTTATCTGTTCACCTATAAGGCCAGCTTCCATTTGCTGGGCCTGAAATGGAGCTCAAGACTTCAATATTTTCTTCAGTTTGTTTGGATGTATGTCAAAAAGCTTTTCTGAGAGTAAGCCTCCTAGTAGGTGCTGACCGAATGCTCCAGCAGTGGGCTCCTGTGTACCAAAGGGACATTGATTGATGGTGTCCACAGAGAGAGGGACACGAGGAGTCTGGAAATTGAGGTGTTGATCATGCTTTGTCAGGAGGCATTTTGCATTCTCTTTGTGATTACTAATCCATTTGGGGAGTGGCCTTGTTTTTCATAATATTTCAGGAACTACCACAGTGAATTGTGATCCTGGGATTTACATTATCATTGTAGCTCAGTGGAAATTCTGATAGACTATTGTTTCAGGACATTTTGGGGATTCATAGTCTAGTGATTTGATGTGACTTTAGGGATTTTGATTATGCCATTTTGGCCTGTGCCAGTCATCTTTATGATGGGTTGAACAGTTAAATAGAATGTCTTCCTCTTGTAAAACTCCAGACATATGCCAGATTTCATCTCATGTATTCTTCACTGCATCCGTCTTGGGCAAGAGAGTGGCAATTGTTCATTCTTTTACAGTGAGAAGGACAATGGGGGCCAGAGAGGTTAATTGGCTTACCTCATTGGGACATCCAGATTACAGTAGCTCAACATCATGAGTTTATGTTTCTGAATCAGACTATTTCATCTTACTGGAAGTGAAATGCACACTTTATATTTAAGGGTCCACAATTCTTCCATATATTTGCATTCATTCATTCATTCATTCAATGACTATGGAGAAACTACTCTATGCCAGGTACTGAGGATAGAGCAGGAAATAAGACAGACAAGCTGTTAAGGAACTGATATTCTTATTGAACAGAGGGAACAGAAAACATCACGTAAACATATTTAAATTTTTCATTTCAAATAGTAATGTTCTATAGATAAAATAAAAACAGAATAACAGGATAGAAGGTACCTGGGATAGATGAAGAAACAATCACCAAAAAGCTTCCATTAGTTGGTATCATATGAGCTAACAGCAAAAGGATGAAAAAAGCCAACCTTGAAAAATCTAGAGGAGACCATTTCAGACAGAGAGAACAGCAAGGGCAAAGGCCCTGAGGGTAGAATGAGACTAGCATGGTCAAGGGCCAAAGAATAGAAATGCCAGATCTTACAGACCATGGTTCAGAGGGATACCTTAGAGGATTTTTAAGCAGAGAAGTGATGGGGAGTTCATCTTTGTTATGACAAGATCTCTTCGATTGCCATGCAGAGGTGGACTGAAGGAGGCAAAGTATGAAACAGAATAGGAAGAGATTATTGCAGTGGTTCAATGGAAGATCATTTTTTATTTTTAGTACTTAATTATGTGTCAGACATTGTAAGTGCTTTCCACACGTTTCTTATTTAATGCTCACAAAATTCTACAATGTAATTATCTTCATTTTTTTAGATAAAGAAATAGAAGGTTCAGAAGTTTAAATATCTCATACAAGGCCACTTAATCTAAGTGGCAGAACCAGGATTTAATTTCAAAGTCTGTACTGTTAAATGTTCTTTTCTAGCCCTGGCATATCTTAATTGTCTGCTGGGCCATTCCCCATGGATGTCCCTAAGACACTTT
The DNA here is from genome assembly GCF_000001405.40 of Homo sapiens. NCBI lineage: Eukaryota > Metazoa > Chordata > Mammalia > Primates > Hominidae > Homo > Homo sapiens. The sequence continues at coordinate 46,481,978 of NC_000012.12, forward strand.
CAACCTATTATATCCAAAATCAAACTCATTGTCTTCTTCCCTAAACCAATTTTTTCCCCTTAGTTCCTCAATTATATTAATGGCATCACTCAGACTCAGTAATCCAGGCTAGGAACACTAATGTCTTCTTAACTGTCTTCACACTGTGCTTTTCTTCATTAATCTGCATCAAATTTGTTGCATCCTTTTATCCATTTAAAGTATTATCTATCCCATTTCTATTCTTACCCTCATTGCCTTGGTTTGGGTCAGTTCAACAATTCCAATTCCAACTGACCCAATTGGGGAAATTTATTAGTTCCCCAATTCCTATTTCTGTCCTCTGTAATCTATATTCATCTTGCCTTTGGGTTTAGTTCTTATCCTAAACCCAAGTTACATTATCCTCTTCCTTTTCAAATTCATTCCCCATTGGTCCCCATTGCTCTTAGAATGGAATTCACTCTTTTTAGCATGGCAGTCAATTTACTAATAATGGGTAGTTCATTTGTTGCTCTGAAGATTGCTTATTATTTTAGCTTTGACTTACTTTTTTTTGCCACTGATAACTCTCACCACATATAACCAGTCATGCAAAGAGGAAGGTTAGGAACACGCAGTCCAGCAATTCCTGATTGAACTGTTTAGATGTCCAGCATGAGCTATGCTAACCAATGGATGAGACACAGTGTTCAAGGGCCAATAGGTGTTTCCATAGCCTCCTGGTAGAGCTTGTTGACCTAACAGGTCTGGGAAGCCACTCAACTGGATGCATTTTTGTTGGATTGAATTGCATGGAAGGTATACAAAGAAAGACCTGAGTTTTAATGACACACCAAAAAGAAAAGGCAGCCAATTCTTATGGATAGGAGTCCTTTTATTTAAAAAGTAAATGGAGATTTCTGGACAGCAGGAAATGCCCATTGCGTGTGAGATTTATCCTAATTCTATATTCAGTTTTGTTTATAGGCAACAGGTCCCTGTGGGTTTAAGTACTGAATAGAGGGCTAAGAAACAGGGGAACTGTGTGGTTATTTTCTGAGTTGAATTTTCAGACTTATAATTTAGGGATTTAATTCTGGTTGTTAGAAACCAGCCAGCATTCTCTGTCTTTAAGCACTGGTAGTCACCAGGCAAATATAAGGTGAAGTCTTTTCTGGCTTAACCCCAGTAAAGATTTCTCAAATGTATGGTGGTTTTTTTTTCAGAGATGTTCTCTGGCCTACTAGATAATGAGAAAGAACATTTAATAATAAGTTATTTTGTTCTACCATTTCTCATTAAAGAAATAAGAATTTTTAGTCTGTTTTCAGTGATGCTGAAGGAGATAAATTGTTTTCTGCTAGTTTTAAGAACTGTGCTAGCAGTTGTTCCCTTTTTTATTTCACAGAATAAATAATAGTTTTTAAAGATAAGGTAGCAAAGCTCCGTATTTTCTATATTTGATTTTAAGGTGGAGGATAATTTTTTAATGTCTGTAGTATAAGTGAATTATAATTTTAAGCAAAATATACATGTTTAGCTGACAATCTTGTATTGTACAAATAATACTATAACAACAATAACAGAAATCAACCAAGAAAAAAAGAAAAGAGAAAAAAGTCTCTTATCTTGCCATTCTAAAATCAGCTGTTTTAATGTTTCCTTCCAGTTACTGTCAATATGTTATCTAATTTTCACATAGTTACAATCTTAGCATAGACAAGACTTTATAATCTTTTTTTTGCGTCTAATGTTACATAAGCCTTTTTTTTCCACACCCACTTCACATTTTTAAACCCTAATGTGCTTTTGTAATAAAATTGCTAGACAATAATAGATTTCTTCAAAAAGGGTCACTAAGTTCTGGAAATGAAAGGTTTTCCTTGGATTTCTCAACATTACCATATTGTGGTGAATCACACTTTACTGTTTCAGCTAAAGACAACAGTCTGCCAGGGGTCAAACAGAGCTCCTAAGATAAACAGTCCTAGGACACAAAGGGCCATAACATCATCTGTGAATGCTGAGACCTCAATTCTCCTTACCTGTTCTAACAAGAGTACAAAGCTCATTAGATTTTACCCTTATGTCATTGAAGCTACTGCCTAATTTAATGGCAAGTAAAGTAAATGCATCTCGGGCCTTTGGTTTGCTACATTTACTAGGTACTCAATAAAATAAAGGCCATTGATAACTTTAGCATAGATTCTAATGACAATGCAGAACCTACTGTGCATTCAGTCTTCCCAAAGCTCCCAAGCTATTCCACCAAGGGAAAGACCGTTTTGTCATTAGAGGCAAAGGGAGGGTTTTTTCTTTTTTTTTAAGAGACAGGGTCATGCTCTTTCACCCAGGGTGGAGTGCAGTGGTGTGATCATGGCTCACTGCAGCTTTGAACTCCTGGGCTCCAGGGACCCTCCCACCTCAGCCTCCTGAATAGCTAGGACTGCAAGTGCGTGCTAGTACTCTTAGCTATTAGTACAGGCCTGGCTAATTTTTATTTTTATTTTTTTTTGTAGAGATGGGGGTGTGAAAGGAAATGAAATCTTGGGACCCTAAACTCATTAAGCCAAAGGGAAAAGCTGGGCCGAGAACTGGATGATGCAACCTGCTTCCACCTTTTTGCTTCCTAAATAAGATGGCTACAAGATGAAAAGCTATACATCTCTGCCATATTTTGCCCACAAGGAAATTCCTAGTGAGCTTCAAGATCTTTTAAGGTGTTTCTGTTAAAATTTCACAATTTCGCCATTGCAATGTAAATTTATAGCTTATCCTTACAGGTGCAGTCATCTCCCTGCCCACCAGACACAAAGGCATATCTGATTGTTCTCCTGCCCCATTTTGTCTATGTTATCTTATGTAAAATACAGATACCCTGCATTTTTCCTCTGCCCCATTTGTCTATATCACCTTATATAAAAAAATGCAGAGTCACTGAGCCGGACAAAGGCATGAACGACTATTTTTCCCTACCCCCGCTCTTACATGAAAATTGTGTACTTCTGAATATCCTGCCCTTTCCCCTTTAAATTTGGAGCCCTCAGAATCATCTTCAGAGAAAGGCATAGACCTGTCTCCCGGGCATACATCCTTAACTGTGGCAAATAAACCTCCTAAAATGATTGAGACTTGTCTCGTCATTTTTCTCGATTGATATTGGTCTCACTATGTTGCTCAAGCTGGTCTCAAACTCCTGGGCTCAAGTGATCCTCCCACCTCAGCCTTTCAAAGTGCTGTGATTACAGGTGTGAGCCACTGCACACGGCCAGGAGATGTTAATCAAAGGGTTTACATGCTGTAAAGGCGATGTATAAAGAGTTATAGGGATCTTTCGTTTGCTTTTCCTCATATTTGTTGAGAACTGTGTAGGAATTTCCCATGGATTTGATATTTGCCCATTAACAGACACCAAGAGAAGTAGTCAGAAAACATTCCCTAAAATAAAGTGTGAGCCAACTCAGTGGTCTTCTTTGGAAGAGACCTGAGGGGAGGGAAGGTCACGTAGTGATAAGCAGGGATGCAGACTATGGGGTCTGACTCATGAACTTCATATGTCACAGTTAATAGTCAGAAGACCATGGAAGGTCACATCCAGGCACAGGGACCTGGTGAGGCGTGTGTGTATGTATCTACAACACAGAAATTAAGATGCGCCAAAGAGAGCAAGTGACAGGGCTCTCTCCCTATTTCTCACTTGGCATATGAGATGACCTTCAGGAGCTTCTGTTCTGTATGTCCCATTTATTAGACCAAAGTGTTCTAGAGTTTAATGTGCTAATATTCATAAGCTTTGTTAATTACAACATTATCATCTCTGCTGTCATCATCTTCATCAGCCTCAGCCAGGGAAGACCGAATGTCCTTGGCCAACGAGGCCTGCAAAAATATGAATTTTACCTCAGGCTCGCCTAGTTTTTAAAAAATAAATATTGCTGATAATGATTTACTGGCATTCATAGATGAGATGACAAACTGCTCATCAGGCCCCCACTAATGCAAGGACGCAATGGCCAAATGACCAAATACTGGGCTGTTGCTTACAGGACAAGCTGGATATGCTTACTTCCACTCTAACCACAGCTGGGCTACTGTGGTTTGCTCATTCATTCATTCCTTCATTGAGGAAGTACTGGTAGAGTGTCTACTCTGTGTCAGGTATTGTGCTAGAGGCTGGGCTCTCTGCACGAGCAAAGCAGGCGAATCCTGCTGTCAATGAGCCTTCTGGTGGAGAAGACAGGTGTATTCTAAAAATCTCATACGTAAGTGCAGAAGTAAATCTGTGTTGGGTGCAAAAAAGGAGACTGCGGGTGCAGAGGAAGGGGTGGTGACCTGGGCAGAGGCTTCTTCATGAAGTGATGATTGACCCATGGCTGGAAAAAAGATTAACAAAAAATTGCAGACATTTACGAAGTGGGCATTATGTGCCAGTCTCAGATTTTAGTGCTTTCTATGAATAATCTCTGTGAAGTATGGACTCATGTTAACATACAGGTGAGAAACTTAGGCTTAGATACAGTATATAACTTGTTTAGGACCCCCCAGTGGGTGAGTAGAGGAGTGGGTTTTGGAACTCAGTTTGATTCCAAAGCCTGGGGTCCTAATCACCATGATATAATGCTGTCTTCTATTCTCCCTGAAGTAGAAGTTAACCAGGTGGAAAGGATGGTGGGAAGGAAGTACCAGGCAGGTGGAACAGCATGTGCAGAGCCCAGAGGTGGAAGAGAACTGGAATTATGTGAGGAAGCACAGAGAAGACACACTAGCCAGGGCATGTGGGTGGGGGAGAATGTGGGGTGAGGCAGGGAGGTGGGCAGAGCCAGGCCACATATTGCCTGAACAGTCAAGTCAGACTGTGGCCCTGCCCAAGAGGAAGTCACTGCAGGGATCTAAGCAGGAGTGACCATGATCAGAGTTGAGTTTTGAAAAGGTCACTCTAGCTGCAGTGCAGAGCTTAGAAGGGGGCAAAAGCAGATTTGAGGAGACAAATTAAAAGCCCTTTGGTTGGGGGTGAAGTTGAGAGCAATAGAGGTGTAGAAGCAAGTCCTGACTTTTGAACTTTGGCAGTTTTGATGGATAATGATATCATTTATCGGGCAGGGAACAGTACAGGATGACACTGTTTGGAAGAAAAGGTCATGAATTTGATTTGGGCAGGTTGAAGTTGAGGAGCCTTGAAGGTATCCACGTGTTTTCTAGTAGGTAGTTTTATATATAGCTTAGGAGCTCAGGAAGAGGTTAGGGCAGCAGACAGACAGACATTTGTGGGTAATTCCAGGAGAGGCGGTAATTGTGCCCATAGGCATGGGTGACAGGGTCTAGGGAGAGAATCTTTGTATTTTCACTGCCCCTTCCTATGCTTTCTTCTTTCTAATTTGCTTCTGAGGAGTATGTGTCCTTTTTCTTTGTCAGGTTAACCCCTCTAACTGCCAGCCTGATTCCCTTGACCTTTCCCCATCAATTCTTCCCTTGTCATTTCCATCTTCATTCTATAATCCTCTATCAAACTCCCTAAAGTCCATTTCTGTGCTGTGTACCTACTCATTTTTCACTATCTTGAATGCTGACTTTTCTATTCTCAGCCCCACTAAAGTGTCTTTTTCAGAGGCAACTGTTGACCTATGCACTGGATCCAAGTGCTCATCTCAGGCTATGCGTCTCTGGCTTCTTCTTAGCATTTGATTGTTGCTTCTCTCATTTAAGCATCCCCCTCTCTGCTTCCCTGGCATTCTTTTCTCAGTTCTCCTTTCTCTTTACATACTTCTCTTTCTACTTCTCTATACATGTACGTGTCCTCCGGAATGTTTTCTTCTTCCTGCTTCTAGACCTACACTTGCTACCTCAGCTATCTTGTTCAATCCTGTGGCCTTAACCATCACTCCCATGAGGATAGTACTCATATGTATCTTTCTTGCCAGGACCCGAGTACCTCAGACCCGAATATCCAACTGATGGCTAGACACCAATGGCATCTCAAACTCAGCATGGCCCATACCAAATATTTTCTTTTCCTCTGAAACAAGTCAGTGTTCTACACTGTCAATTTCAGTTGAGTTCCTCTTTTTTCATTAATTCTCTTGAGTGCTACCATACTTCCTTTTACTTCTTACCATATTTCCTCTTACCTCTTGCCTGGGTGCTTTGCAGTTGTCTCGAAACCAGTCTTTTTCCTTATTCGATTTTGCTCTGAATGAATTGTCTCTCTCTCTCTCTCTACACACACACACACACACACACACACACACACACACACACACACACACATATATTTCTTTTTTTTTTTTGAGATGGAGTCTTGCTCTGTCACCCAGGCTGGAGTGCAGTGGCATGATCTCAGCTCACTGCAACCTCCGCCTCCCAGGTTCAAGCGATTCTCGTGCCTCAGTCTCCCAAGTAGCTGGGACTACAGGCATGCACCACTATGCCTGGCTAATTTTTGTATTTTTAGTAGAGACAGGGTTTCACCATATTGGCCAGGCTGGTCTTGAACTCCTGACCTCATGATCCGCCTGCCTTGGACTCCCAAAGTGCTGGGATTATAGGCGTGAGCCACCAAGCCCTGCCGAATTCTATATTTTTACTTTAAATGAACTGTATACTCAATCCAGATGATATTACTCCTTAGCCTAACAACTTTAATGATCCTCTATTGTCACTGAATTAAATACTAACCCTTAGCCTGTTTTTAAGGACCCTCTTAACATGATGCTGGCATAGCCTCCCACCTTTATCTCCTAATACCATCTGACATATATGAGCCACATATGGCAGCCTTTCCTACAGACTGTGTTACACTTGAAGGCAGACATCTGTGCCTCAAAATCCTTGTATCACCTATACTTCACACTTAGAACACAGTAGTTACTCACTAAAGTTTTGTTGTGTGCATGGAAAATTATGTACTAGTTCATATGACTGTCTGATAATTCCCAGTCCTTGTGTTTGCTCGTGGGGTGCTTCTGACATGGAGGGACCTCACCTTTTTGTATGCAAAAGTGGATGATGTAGGCAAAAGTGTCATTTAAAATTGTGAATTTATATCTGTATCTATAGCTATATTACCAGTTTATTAAAAGTCTGCTCAACCTTTGACTTAAGAGCCATTCCATTTTGGGAACTTCAAAGTGCCTCTCTTTCTTACTTTAAAAAAAAATTATTTTAAGTACTATAGAGCAAGAAAATTTCATGTGGTCCCTAACCTTATATCTGTGTTGTATTTGATCATGAGGTTTACTTCTGTTAGACCTTTGATTCTTAAGAGTAATTTGAAGACTTGCCATCCCCTCTGGTTCCCCACAATCTGTTTCTGATCCCTAGTTCCCTGCAGTATTTCCCAGCAATCGGCCACTTCATTTAGCATTTTGTGAACTGGGGTTGCGTCTTGCTCAGATTTAGGTCCCTGAAGCACTTAACATGATGGCTTACCCATAGAAGTTTCTCAATATTTGCGGATCTGAATTAAGTGAAATGATATATATGGCTACCAATATCTTCCATTCTAAGTGAAAAATGAGTCAAAGATTCAGACCTATGTTTATTTTGTTTTCAATAGCCAGAGAAAAAGTGACAATGATCTTCTCATGGAATTGGCAAAAGGAGCAATGTAACCATGTGTACCACAAAGAGTAGCTGTCTCTGCCATTTGGTTTGGAGAATAAATGAAATGAAGCCATTATGAGGGCGGAAACATAAATATTATGCAAAAACAGGCATGTTTCGGTGGAGTTAATCTCTGTGCAATCCTTTCCTTCCAAGCCCAGCAGCTCTGCTGGATTCTAGTTACCAACCAAGCCCTGGGCAGGCCCTTCAAATGCATCATGGCCTTGTTTCTATCCCCAGGCTGGTAAGTCAGTTACATAAAATTACATGTTGTTTTCAGGAACCTGTATTTGTGATTTGAAGTTGGTCACTCCTTAATTGGCTAACAGGTATAATTCTAGAATTTTCCTAATTATTCCCATGAATATAAAATGTTTTGAACCTTGTAGGATTTTTTTTTTCCTCTGGGATGTGATTTACTCCTGGCTGCTCTTTTTCAAAAAATAAACTGGATGATGGCCAGAATCATAGGGTGAAAAAATAGCCCTGATGAAAGTGTTCTGGACAACTCTTCCAAAGCAGCCACTGGATTATGGGAAAAACGTTTACAGGGAGAAACCACAGAGCATGGTAAGCAGGTTCAGATTTGGTCATCAATAAGTCTATTGTTCTTATCTGGGAACCTTTTTGTTCATGGAAGTCCTTCAAAAGGGCCACACCCCTTCAGTTCTGTAGAGGTTCCCAGACAGTGACTTGGGGTGGAAAATAAAAGGAGGACTTTTTGTTTCTGACGGGGAGCTTCGCCAGGCCTTACTAGGGACTGATCTTACTTATAGCAGTGAGGCAGGCACATGGTCGATGTGCATATGAGCTGCAACGCAGAGGTCACTCCCAGGCTGGGTCAGGTGTCATCTGAGTTAGGAGATCCAAGTGTGAGGACCAGCAGCTCTAAGTGGGAAGCAAGTTATTTTATTTAGTCCCCAGGATATTTATTTGTAATATGAGTACAATAATTCCTGGGTCTAGCCTCTTTCACAAAGTTGTTACATTGATCAAATCAGAAGTGAGAGAAATAAAAAAAAAGGTAACATTGTTATCACAGCATTTTGAGATGCTGAGAATGTTATAGAAATATAGCATGCTCTTATACTTTTATTTCATTTTGAAAGAGGCAATACCCTTTTATCTTTATTAAGTGCCCTCAGAGATTAATGAGAGATGTTTAAATGAGTGTGAATATGTGAATTCACAGCCTTTCTCCACTGCAGAATGGTGAAACGATTCCAAGATGTTCTTCCTGGGTTTGAAGTCTTTGCCTGAACACAATTATGCAATGATTTGAAAGTCAGTTCCAAGATCTCTTGAACTGCTTATGAGACATTTTGTTTATTAAATAATTTTCTGAAATTGACTAGGTTTTAGTGACTCATGGATTCATGCAAACATATGCATGACATTTAGAATTATAGAACTAGAGGGGAAGAGATCAGCTAATGCACCCTGTGTTTTACAGTAAAGGAAATGGTGCCAAGAAGTCTAAATGACTTGCCCAGAGCTATATGAAGGTGTCCATGAGAAAACTGGGGCTAGAACCCAGACCTCCAATTCCCGGCTCGGAGTTCTTTCTTTTGAACAGATTTTCCGTGAATATTCTGATTACATATGCTATTTCCATGGTCAATGCTAAGCCCTTGGAAAAAAACAAAAATGACATTTTGCCCCCCAGTGATCTCAAGGTAAGATAAATATTTTATAATTGTAATGCATGGTGTCTTTAAAGAATGTACAATTCTCTGCAAAATTTATAACCCAGAAATGCTTTCAGGTACATTTAATCTTTACAATTCAGGTAAAGATTGTTATTTAATTAATTAATTAATTTTTTGAGACAGGGTCTCACTCTGTTGCCCAGGTTGGAGTGCAGTGGCATGATCATGGCTCACTGCAGACTTGACCTCTCGGGCCCAATTGATCCTCCCACTTCAACCTCCCAAGTAGCTGAGACTACAGGCACAAGCCACCACACCTGGCTAAGATTGTTATTTATGCTATATATGGAAACTACCAAGTAAGAGAGAGTGGCTTGGTCAAGGTTTCTAAAAATTGAAACAGACTTAAAAAAGATTGGGTTTTCAATTCCATTCTTGGAGTTTTTAAAAATGCAACATGAAAATTGATATTTAAGTATTTTTAAAAATGAGTATTAGTCATGGAGATAAGACTGTCCCTACTTCCCTCCTTTGTTTGGCTCTAAGCTGATGCTGGACTCTGCCCTAGTGTATCCTTAAAAGCTGATGTTCATGTCACGGCAACATTCCAATCCACAATGGATTGAGTTTTCCAGTTCATCAACAAAATCTCACTTACTTGAGAAAGGCTTGTCTGAAATCAGTAGTAGTGGTAGTAATAATAATAATAATGATAATAAACAATTGATATTTATCAAACACTGATTGTTTCCAGGTTCTGTTCTAGACACTTTACAGGTATTAACTGATTTGATCTTTCCGGCAAGCCTATGAATAGACACCATTATTATCTCAATTTTGCAGATGTTGAGACTGAGGCACAGAAAGCTTAAGTAACTTGCTCCACGTAACACAGTTAGCAAATGGCCGATAAGTTACATTTCGATTTTTGTTGTTCTTATTAAAAATGTTTACAATGATCATTTTTATATAATAACTCTAGTAGTTCAGTTATTTGTTTTGGGGCAAAGATTCTCCTTGAACCTCAGTTTTCAACTCTAAAACAATTGGGTTGAAGTGGTTGACCTTGAGGGTTTGCTCTAGTTCTACATGGTTACCAATTTATCACATCCTCTCACATCCTTCTTATGCTCTGTGGACCTAGGCTGTCCTGTCACACTCAGTTCCCTTCCTTCCCTGCCTTGCTCGATTTCCAGGGATAAACAAAAGTCACACATTTTTATCAGTTTTATTTGTATATAAACATAAGATGAGCTAGTCCTTCAAGACTTTTTAACTTGGGGAAAAACAAGGAAACTAAATAACCACTCCTGCTCTCCCTCTTTTCTCTCTCCCACTTCTTAAAATATTTGTTTTAGCAAACCCGTTTATCAAAGGTAATACAAAGTCCTCCACTAAGGAATATGAGGTCCAAAAATCCTACAGTTCTTTCCTTTATCCCAACATGTTTATACAGACAAAACCAGGTTAAAATCGACACAAGGTCAACTTGAAATGGGGAAAGAGGAAGGTGACGTCACAAAATAAACATGAAGTCTTGTGTACAAGCATCTGCAGAAGAGTTCAGCCTCACCACTTGGGTAATGCTGTTGGAATGTGGTCTGGGTTCACTGTATTTGAATGTAGGGCCGTTTAATATCAGCTAGTTCAGGACCACCCTTCTCACCCCCCATAAAGTGTGAGTCCCAGAAATTCTGCCCATATGTGAGTTTAATGGTAGGTTTGGGTACGGTTTGAAATGGAATCATCAGAAATTGTAACTTCCTTGACTCGGAATCAATGAGCTTTTCAAATAGTTACAGACATTGGAATTTGTAACTTTTCATATATAAAACTATCTTATGAGGTGCATATTTACCAAGCCTTGAAACAAACCCAAGTACTGAGATAAAAGTTCAAACTATATCGAGTGCATTGATGCTGAAAGGAACAGAAATAATTGTTTATATGTGTATTTGACATTCCACCCAGAAGGGGTTAAATCTCTGCTCTAGTTGATGTATTTTCTTCCTTATGAATTAAACACTAAAGTATGTCCATTTCATCACTTTCTTTACACACCTAACTCTCCCTTTATTGTGCCTTGTCTCCACTTGTCTGCAGAAAGATCTCTCCATATTTTGCTTCTGACGCCAAATAACCGTGATCACTTACGATGAAAGAGTATTGGTTAATAAGATTGTTGAGAAAGTTCTGTTTTGTTTATAAAGTCATTCCTATGTTTTTCATAATGTATCTTTTATCTTTGGACCAAGAGCATTGATCCCACATCTTTTTTTTGCTGAGTGTTTTCATTTGAGGTTGATTGTAACTATTTAAGGACATATGGTAACTACTTAAGGGCTTAATTATTCAATCATGGAGAGTTGGGTGGAACATGGGGACACAGAGGTTCGTTGGGAGATAGATGGAGGTTTCTCCTTACTACCTATGTGTCTCCCACAATCCTTTTACAGAGGGAGAGTGGTGAACTGTCTCCTGGAAAAGAGAAAGATTTATCCTTACATAATTTACCTATGTTTGTGCACTGAGCTGACATGTACCTCTGTATCAATGCTAACATCATTTCTCCCTCCCTTTTAGATAGGACTTTTATGAATCAGAGCGGGATTCTGTTAATTAGAAAGATGTGTGTGTGTGTTGAGCTTGGCACACCCTCTTTTCATTAGTGATAGAAGTGCCCGATAAGGGGCGGGGTGGGGGGGGGTCATGATGACCTTAACCTGGGTTCTAGTTCAATCCATAACCCAGAGGCAAAGGTAATGACGTGTGTATAATCACCACTTGAATTTTCTGCTCCACTGTATTTACATTAGAGGGAAACAAATCTTGTAATATGTACGTGCTTTCCATTAAGGATGCAGCACAAATATCAACAGTGTCCTTCTAAGTCAATATTTGCTAGGAAAAGCACAGGATGTTCTTGTTGTCATCATGGTACCAAGGCTTCACAAACTAATAAAAACATTGAAATTGTTACATATTCATACACAAGTACTATGAAGCATAACAGGAAAAAACAGGTCTACATTTTCATAAAATTAAATTCACACATGCTCTGATAGGCAAAAAGTTTTGTACTTACATAGATCATGGATGGAATTTCTGCTCTGTCTCTTGTGGGGTAAAGCAGCTTTAATATTTTATTGGAAAATAAAATTTCTTCTTTGTTGGATTCTCTTCAGATGAAACTGAATAGATGAATAATGTATATGTTTTATGACAATTAAAAAAAAGCCCTGTAATTTGTACAACTATGAGTGAGAGGAGTCAATTGACATTTGAAGCAAAAAAGATAGATAATGAGAGGATAAATGGATGGAAAATTCCACAGCTCAAAATCCCAATGGTTTCTTCAGGACAAGATTGTTACTTGAGAAGGCTCTGCTGAATTTTTGGCATTCCTGCATTATCTCACTTTGAAGATGGAATGTAAACTATGGTTTTCAGCCAGTACCACTGTTCTCTGAAGTAGATTCAATTTTATTTGCTGAAAGTTTTTGGTAACACCGATTTCTCTAAATTTAAGTAAATAGTTAATGTTTCAAAGGCCATTATTAGTCTCTCTTAGTGGAAAAGAGCAGTCTCATTTTTGGGAAGTCCATGGCAAATTTCCTTTCATGGGACTCTTACCATTAACCCAGAGACTCACTTTTATCTACAAAGGCTTTGTTGAAAATTTTGGCTACTTGTATATTCTACTGCAAATCCTTATGGGATATTGTTAAAAATTCATTTGCTATAGAAATCAGGAGGATTGCCAACAGGTATGCTCAGTGGAGGCTGGGGAAGAATCCGGTGCTGATGGTGAAGATGAGTTCCTTTGTCCATCATCCTGAGCAGAGCAGTTTCATGGATACATTTGGTGCCACTGATAACACACAAGACTTGCAAGTTTAAGTTACTTTTACTACTTTCTGCTGCAGTGTACGATTCGATAATTTTCTAAGTATCTTAAGCATTTTCAAATCAAAACAAAAATACCAAAGGAAACATCTAATAAAACTTCAATGTCTTCTTACTTGCATATTTATTAAAAATAAATAGAGGAAAGATTTTCATGAGTTATTATTTATTATTTTACTTTATTTTATTTAATTTTAATTTAATTTTATGTTTTTGAGATGGAGTTTCACTCTGTCGCCCAAGCTGGAATGCAGTGGTGTGATCTTGGCTCACTGCAGCCTCTGCCTCCTCTGCCTCCTGGGATCAAGCGATTCTCCTGCCTCAGCCTCCCCAGCAGCTGGGATTACAGACATGCACCACCATGCCTGGCAAATTTTTGTATTTTTAGTAGAGACGGGGTTTCACCATGTTGGCCATGCTGGTCTCGAACTCCTGACCTCAGGTAATTCACCTGCCTTGGCCTCGCAAAGTGCTGGGATTTACAGGCGTTTAATGGGTTTTTTAAAAAATAAAATATTCACTCATACATGCAGAAATAAAATTTTTCTTCTTGTGTTTGTATCAATAAATATCAGATACTGAAAGTTATCCTTAAACATTGGTTGTTAGTAAGATTATTTCAACTAACTAGGGATTTTGATATATGATGCAAAAAGGTCAGTTTTAAGGACACTTAAAAGATCCTTTAGCATCAGTAACATAAAAGTATAAACTGCATATATGGTAGAATAATACATTATTAGAGACTTTTATACTCCAGAATTTAGAAACATTTCTTATTGGCTTACTACTGTGATTAAATTATAAAATCAAGTTTGCATGTATATATATATATACATATATATATAATATATATATATACATATATATATATTATATATATATACATATATATATAATATATATATATACATATATATATATTATATATATATGCAATATAAAATATATAGTCATGTGCTGCTGGGTGCAGTGGCTCATGCCTGTAATCCCAGCACTTTGGGAGGCCAAGGCAGGTGAAATACCTGAGTTCAGGAGTTCAGGACTAGCCTGGCCAACATAGTGAAACCCCATCTCTACAAAAAATTAGCCAGGTGTGCTTGTGGGTGCCTGTAATCTCAGCTACTTGGGAGGCTGAGGCATGAGAATTGCTTGAACTAGGAGGCGGAGGTTGCAGTGAGCCAAGATTGCACCATTGCACTCCAGCCTGGGCAACAGAGCGAGACTGTCTCAAAAAAAACAAAAACAAATACAAAAACAAAACAAAACAAAATATACATATATATATATATATATAGAGAGAGAGAGAGAGAGAGAGAGAGAGTCGTGCTACATAATAATGTTTCAGTTAAAGTCAGTCTGCATATTATATGATGGTGGTCTTTTAGATTATAATGGAGCTAAAAAATTCCTGTGGCCTAGTGGTGGTAACATCATAATGTAATGCATTACTCATGTGTTTGTGGTGATGCTGGTATAAACAAACCTACTGTGCTACAGTTGTATAAAAGTATAGCAATGCGATTACATATAGTGCATAATACTTTATAATGATAATAAGCAACTATGTTACTGGATTATATATTTAGTAAACTATACTTTTTATTGTTATTTTAGGATGTACTCCTGCTTATTTAAAAAAAGTTAGCTGTAAAACAGTCTCAGGCAGGTCCTCAGGAGGTATTCCAGAAGAAGGCATTGTTAACATAGAAGGTGACAACTCCATGCGTGTTATTCCCCTGAAGACTCTCCAGGGGATAAGGTGTGGAGCTGGAAGACAGGGATATTGATGATCCTGTCCCTGTGTAGGCATGGGCTAATGTGTGTGTTTGTGCTTAGTTTTTAACAAAAAAGTTTAATAAGTTAAAAAATTTAAAATAGAAAAAAGCTTATAGAATGAGAATGTAAATAAAAAATATTTTTGTATAGGTATGTAATATGTTTGTGTTTTAAGCTAAGTGTTATTACAAGTCAAAAAGTTAAAACAATTAAAAAGTAAAAATGTTACAGTTAGCTAAAGTTAACTTATTATTGAAAAAGGAAAACTGTTGTTTAATAAATTTAGTGTAGCCTAGGTGTACAGTGTTTATGAAGTCTACAGTGGTGTGCAGTAATGTCCTAGGCCTTCATGTTCACTCACTGACTTACCCAGAGTAACTTCTAGTCCTGCAAGCGCCATTCATGGTAAATGCCCTATACAGGTGTACCATTTTTAATCTTTATTTTACTTATTTTATTTATTTATTTATTTATTTCTGAGACGGAGTCTGGCTGTGTCTCCCAAGCTGGAGTGCAGTGGCGCCATCTCAGCTCACTGCAAGCTCAGCCTCCCGGGTACATACCATTCTCCTGCCTCAGCCTCCCAAGTAGCTGGGACTACAGGCATGCGCCACCATGCCCGGCTAATTTTTTTTGTATTTTTAGTAGAGATGGGGTTTCACTGTGTTAGCCAGGATAGTCTCGATCTCCTGACCTTGTGATCCACCCGCCTTGGCCTCCCAAAATGCTGGGATTACAGGTGTGAGCTACTGCCCCCGGCTTCCATTTTTAATCTTTTAGATTTCTTTTACTATACTTTTTCTATGTTTATATCTGTTTAGATACACAAATCATTAGCATTGTGTTACAATTGCCTACAGTATTCAATACAGTAACATGCTGTACAGATTTAAAACCTAGAAGCAATAGGCCATACCATGTAGCATAGGTGTATAGTAGGCCATACCATCTATATTTGTGTAAATATGCTCTATGATGTTCTTACAATGACAAGATTGCCTAACAAAGCACTTATTACCATATATCCCTGTCATTAAGGGACACATGACAGTATATATTGTTTCTCAATCTAGAAAGGATTCTGAGAAAATGGTTGGTATTCAAAGCATGGCTGGCCACTGCTGGAAGAACCTGATGAACTGCATCATAGGCTTTTCACTTAGGACTAGGTTGTATGTTACGGATATATATATATAGAATTGCTCTATTGGCATGAAAGATCCTGTAGTTCCTTCAGTCTACTTTCTTCTTCTACAGTTTTGTTAGATCCAACAGCATGGTACCTAAGAAAATCATTAAAGTGGGACTTCAAGGTGTATTGTCTTCCTTTACCTTTGAGAAATTTGAACCAATAAGGAAAGTATAATACTGATAGTTTTCTATAACACTGCTGCTACGTTAGTTAAAGAGTTTCTTTTGGTGAGAAGTCACAGAAAGTGACCTTAAAAATAGGGAATTTATTAAAATGATCTGGAAGACTCTCATAGGATCTAAGAAAGAGTTGAATAGGTAGGTCTTGGGAACGTGAGATGCCATGGAAATGTACAGACCATGTCAAATGACTCAGCTCTAGGGGTGCTGGGTCTTTTAGCAGCAGATTCCCAATTCTTCTAGGAGAAAGTCTGATTGAGCCAATGTGGGTCACTTTGGATCAAAGAGCTATGGTGAGAGGGGCACTAACGATCATGTAGCACATACCATTGTGGGCTTGGCCCGAAGAGGAAGAAGGCATATAATTTACTATAGCTGGGCAGCCACCATGTTAATGAATTTAGAAATTATAGCTTCCAAGTTCTACATGAAATGTTTATACACATGCACACATACATAATAAAAAAACCTCATGGTTTCTTATACATTCAGGAGCTATAGTTAGCATGTTTGTAGGGAGAAATTATTGCAATATCAAGTAAGTAGTTTCAAGGAATATTATCTTCACTAGCATAGCCACGCCATTTCGTCAGAAGCTTACCATGAAGTCATTGGAATAGAAATGTAGGAAATGAGAAATAGCATATACTGTAACACATATTGAGTAGGTAAACACATATACAAGTCAAAATGCCCCGTGACAACAAAACCCCAATCTATATGTGTCCTTGGCTTCACCCATGGGGACTCAAGAGTACTTGTTAATTTATTCACTGAATTGATTTATCTTTCTTTCATTTTCATTTTATTTTATCATGGTAAGAACACTTAATATGAGAACTACCCTCTTAAAACATTTTTAAGTGTGTGCAATACATTACTGTTGACGATAAGTAAAATATTGTACAGCAGATTTCTAGAGCTTATTCATCATGCTTGACTGACACTTCATGCCCATTGATTAGTAACTCCCTATTTCCCACAACCCCCAGTCCTTGGCACCACAATTCTGCTCTCTGATTCTATGAATTTGACTATTTTTAGATACCTCATATAAATGGAATCATGCAGTGTTTGTTTTTCTGTGGCTGGCTTATTTCACTGAGCATAATATCTTTAAGGCTTACCCATGTTGTTTCACATTGTTGAATTTCCTTTATTTATAGATTGAATAGTTTTCCATTGTGTATATATACCACATTTTCTTTATCCATTCATCTGTCAATAAACATTTAGGCTGTTTCCACATCATGGGTATTGTGAATAGTGCTGCAGTGAACATAGGCGTGCTAATATATCTTTGAAATCCTAATTTCAATTCTTTTGGCAAAAATACCCAGCCAAAAGAAGTGAAATTAGGATCTCAAGGATATATTGGCCAGGCATGGTTGCTCACACCTGTAATCCCAGCACTTTGGGAGGCTGAGGTGGTCAGACCCCCTGAGCTCGGGAGTTCGAGACCAGCCTGACCAACATGGAGAAACTCCGTCTCTATTAAAAATACAAAATTAGCTGGGCATGGTGGCTCATTCCTGTAATCCCAGCTACTTGGGAGGCCGAGGCATGAGAACTGCTTGAACCCGGGAGGCGGAGGTTGTGGTGAGCCAAGATTGCACCATTGCACTCCAGCCTGGGCAACAAGAGCGAAACTCTGTCTCAAAAACAAACAAACAATATATTAGCACTCCTAAATTTCTCAAAGGTAAAATACCCAGAAGTGGGATTTCTGGATCATGTGGTAGCTCTATTTTTATTTTTTTGAGCAACTTCCATATGGTTTTCTACAGCAGCTGTACCACCTTGCGTTCCACCAGTGGTGTGCAAGAGTTTCAGTTTCTCCACGACCTCACCATTATTTGTAGTCTTGTTTTTTCATAATAACCACTCTAACAGGTGTGAGGTGATAGTCATTGTTCTTTTGATTTGCATTTCCCTGATGTTTAGTGACATTGAAAACTTTTTTTATACCTAATGGCCATTTTTAAGTCTTCTGTGGAGCAATGTCTATTCAAGTCCTCAGCCCATTTAAAAAATTGGGTTATTAGTTGGGGTTTTTGTTTGTTTGTTTTTGTTTTACTCTTGAATTTTGAGTTGTAGGAATTCCTTATGTATTTTGGATATTAACTACTTATCAGATATATGGTTTGCAAATAGCACTCTGTAGGTTGGTTGTTCTGTAGGTTGCCTTTTTTCCTCTGTTGATTGTTTCCTCAGATATGCAGAAGCTTTTTAGTTTGGTGTGCTGTTTATTTTTGTTTTTGTTGCCTGTAGTTTTGGTGTTATATCCATGAAATTATTGCCAAGACTAATGTCTAGAGACTTTTCCTCCTATGTTTTCTTCTGAGAGTTTTACAGTTTGGGGTTTTACCTTTAATGTATTTTGGGTTGATTTTTGTGTATGGCATATAATAGGAGTCTCATTTTCTTCTTTCGATTGTGGATATCCAGTTTTCCCACACCATTGAAGAGACTGTCTTTTCCCTATTGTGTATCTTGGCACTCTTGTTGAAGATCATTTCACTGTATATGCATATATTTATTTCTGGATTCCCTATTGTGTTCCATTGGTTTATATGTCTTTTTTTATTCCAGTACCATACTGTTTTGATTACTGTAGCATTGTAACATATTTTGAAGTCAAAAACTATGATGCCTCCAGCTTTGTTTTTCTTTCTCAAGAATGATTTAGCTGTTTATGGTCTTTTGTAGTTCCACATGAATAAAAAAAATTTTCTATTGCTGTAAAAATGCCATTGGGATTTTGATAGGGAGTGCATTGAATGTGTAGTTTGCCTTGGGTAGTATGAATATTTTAACAATATTAACTCTTCTAATCCATAAACATGGAGTGCTTTCCAGTTGTTTGTGTCTTGTTTAGTTTTCTTTCATCAATATTTTGTAGTTTTCAGTATAAGTTTTCCACCTTGTAGTTAAGTTTATCTTTATGTATTTTATTCTTTTTGACACTATTATGAGTGAAATTGTTTTCTTAAATTTCTTTTCAGATATTTGTTGTTAGTGTATCAGAATGCTATTAAGTTTTGTATGTTGACTACAACTTTACTGAATTTATTACTGTTAACTGTTTATTCTAACAATTTATTTTGTTGTTGGTATATAGGAATACTACTAAGTTTTGTATGTTAACTGCAACTTTACTGAATTTATTTATTATTATTAACTGCTTATTCTAACAGTTTTTTTTTTAAAATTGAGTCTTTAAAGTTTTCTCTATATAACATAATGTCATCTGCAAATAGGAATAATTTTACTTCTTCCTTTCCAGTTTGAATCTTTATGTTTATTTTTTCTTGTCTAATTTCTCTGGCTAGGACTTCTAGTGCTATGTTGAATAGAACTGGCAAGAGTGGGCATCCTTGCCATGTTTCTCATCTTAGAGGAAAAGCTTTCAGTTTTTCACCATTGAGTATAATGTGAGCTATGGACTTTTTATATATGACCTTTATAATGTTGAAGTAGATTCCTCCTATACCTAGTATGTTGACAGTTTTTTTCATGAAACAATGTCAAATTTTGTCACATGCCTTTCCTGCATCTATTAAAATGATGATGTGATTTTATTTTTTATTATGTCAATGTAGTATATTAAATTACTTGCTTTTTCGACATTAAGCCATCCTTACATCTCTGGGATAAGTCTCATATGGTCATGGTGTATAATCCCTTTAATGTGCCATTGAATTCAGTTTGCTAGTATTTTGTTGAGGCTTTTTTGCATCTATATTCATTGAGAATATTGGCCTGTAGGTTTTCTTTCTTGTGTTGTCTTTGTCTGGCTTTGGAATCAAGGTAATGCTAGCCTCATAAAATAAGTTTGGAAGTGTTCTCTCCTCTTTAATTTTTTGGAAGAGTTTGAGAAGGAGTGGCATTAATTCTTCTTTAAATGTTTGATAGAGTTTACCAGTGACTCTACAGGTATTGAGCTTGATTTTTGGGGAGGTTTTTGATTACTGATTCAATCTCCATACTAGTTATGTGTCGGTTTTGACTTTATATTTCCTTATGGTTTAGTATTGGTAGGTTATATGTTTCTAGGAATTTATCATTTCTTCTAGGTTATCCAGTTTGTTGGATATTGTTCATAGCAGTCTGTTAGGATCCTTTTTATTTCTGTGGCAAGAGTTGTAATGTTTCCTCTTTCCAGTTCTGATTTTATTTATTTGAGTGTTTTTTCTTAGTCTAGCTACAAGTTTGTCACTTTTATTTATCTTTTAAAAAACCAACTCTCAGTTTCATTGATTTTTTTCTATTGTTTTTATATTTTCTCTCTCATTTATTTCTGGGTAATAATCTGTTATTTCCTACCTTCTGCTAACTTTGGAACTAATTTATTGTTTTTTCCTAGTTCCTTGAGGTATAAAGTTAGGTTGTTTATTTGAGACATTTTGTCTTTTGTAATGTAGATGTTCATCACCATAAACTTCTCTCTTACTACTGCTTTTGCTATACCCTATAGGCAGTGGTATGTTGTGTTTTCATTTTTATTTGTATTGAGATATTTTCTAATTTCCTTTTGATTTCCTCGTAACTCAATTGTTGTTTATAAGTATGTTGTTTAGTTTCCATATATCTGTGAATTTTTCAGTTTTCCTTCTGCTACTGATTTCTCGTTTCATTCCATCGTGGTCAGAAAAGGTTGACCATAATGGTCAATCTTTGGTAAGATTTCAATCTTTTTAAATTTGTTGACTTATTTTGTGACCTAACATGTGACCTGCTCTGCAGAAAGAATCATGTGTACTTGAAAATAATGTGTATTATGCTGCTGTTGGATGGAATGTTCTGTACATGTCTGTTAGGTCCATTTGTTTTATAATGCGATTGAGGTCCTCTGTTTATTGATCTTCTGTGTGGATATTCTGTTCATTATTGAAAGTAGGGTACTGAATTCTACTATTATTGTATTGCTGTCTGTTTTTCCCTTCAGTTTTGTCAATATTTTATATATTTAAGTGCTCTTATATTGGTATTACAGCCTATGGACTGACCCTTTTCATCATATAATGTCCTTCTTTGTCTCTTTTGACAATTTTTGACTTCAAGTCTATTTTTCTGATATAAGTACAGCCACTCCTACTCTCTTTTGATTACCATATGCATGGAATACTTTTTTCTTGGCTTCAGTTTCAACTTATGTGTGTTTTTATATCTAAAGTGAGTTTCTTGTAGGCAGCACATAGTTGGGTCTTTAAAAAAAGTCCATTACTCACTGTTTGTCTTTTGATTGGGGGAATTTAATCAATTTACATTTAAAGTAATATTGATAGGAAAGGATTTACTATAGGCATTTACTAGTTGTTTTCTCTCAGTCTTGTAGTTCCCTTTTCTTTTTCTCTCTTGCTGTCTTTCTTTATGTTTTGTAAAGTTTTTGCATTAATATGTGCTATGATCTGAATGTTTGTTTCCCTCCAAAATTTATATGTTGAATCCTAATACCCAATTCAATAATATTAAAGTGTGGAGCCTTTGGGAGATGATTGGATAATGAGGGCTCCACCCTAATGAATGGATTAGTGCCTTTGTAAAAGAGGCCTAAGGGAGCTTATTCACCCCTTCTACTATGTGAGGGTGCAGTGAGCAAGCATCATCTTTGAAGCAGAGACTGACACATCACCAGACACTGAATCTGCTGATGCCTTGATCTCAGACTTTCTAGTCCGCAGAACTGTGAGCAATAAATTTCTGTTATTTGTAAATTGCCAAGTCTAAGGTATTTTGTTATAGCAGCCCAAATAAACTAAGATAATATGCTTGATTTTATTCTTTATTTTCTTTGTGTAATTTCTATAGGGACTTTATTGTGGTTACATAAAAAATCTTCTTTGTGGTTACATACATACTTTGGGGCTTACATAAAATATGGTTATAGCAGTCTATTTTAAGCTGATAACAACTTAAGTTCAATCACATACTCTACACTTTAACCCCTCATATATTATTCTTGTCACAATTTATGTGTATTCATATTGTATATCTTTTATCATGGTTTTAGTTATATTTATTTTTCATACTTTGTCTTTTAGCTTTTATGCTAGAATTAATGGGGTGATTTTCCACCCCATTACAGTAATGCAGTATTCTGTATTTGTCTACATATTTACCTTTACCAATGAGTTTTCTACTTTTTCTTATGCTATCATGTTACTGGTTAGTGTCCTTTTGTTTCAACTCTAAGAACTCTACCATTTCTTGTAAGGCAGGTCTACTGAAGATGAACTCTCTGAACTTTTGTTTGTCTGGGAAAGTCTTTATACCTACTTTTATTTTTTTCAATTTTTTATTGTGTTAAAATCCATGTAACATAAAATTTACCTTCTTAACCATTTTTAGTGTACATTCAGTGGTATTAAGTACACTCATATTGTTGTACATCTATCATCATCTATTCATTTCCAGAACACTTTTAATCTTGCAAAACTGAAACTCTATACCCATTAAACAATAACTCCCCATTCCCTTCACTCCCTAGCCCCTGGCAACCACCATTCTACTTTATGTCTCTATGATTTTGACTACTTTAAATACTCCATATAAATTGAAACCTACAATAGTTGTCTTTGTGACTGGTTTATTTCACTTAGCATAACGTTTTCAGGTTGATTTATTTTGTAGCATATGTCAGAATGTCTTTTCTTTTAAAAAATATTTTAATTAACAAGTAAAAATTATAAATATTTATGGTGTACAACACTATGTTTTGATATATGTATTCATTAGGGAATGGCTAAATCAAGCTATTGAACATATGCATTACCTCACATACTTATAATTTTTTTTGTGATGAGAACACTTTAATCTCTTAGCAATTTTCAAGTATACAATATATTGTTATTAACTGTAGTCTCTGTGATGTATGATAAATCTCTTGAACTTATTCCTGCTGTCTCACTGAAATTTTGTGTGTTTTGACTAACATCTTCCTAATTTTCTCCACCCCTCAGCCTCTGGAAACCACCATTTTACTCTCCGTTTCTATGAGTTTGACTTTCTTACACTCTACATATAAGTAATATCATGCAGTGTTTGTCTTTCTGTGACTGGCTTATTTCACTTAATGTAATGTCTTCCAGCTTCCTCCATTTTATTACAAATGATGTAATTTTCTTCTTTTTAAGGCTGAATAATATTCCATTGTGTATATACACCATATTTTCATTATCCATTTATCTACTGATGAACACTTAGGTAAATTTTATACCTTGGCTATTGTGAATAGTGCGGCAATGAACATGGGAATGCAGATACTCCTTTGACATACTGATTTTCTTTCCTTTGGACATGTACTCAGTAGTGGGATTGCTGAAACATGTGATCGCTCTGTTTTTAATTTTTTTAGGTCTCCATATTGTTTTCATAATGCCTGTATTAATTTGTTTCCACCAACCATGTAAAATGGTTCCAATTTTTCCACATCCTCACCAACACTTGTTTTATATATATGTGTGTATATACATATATATATATATATATATTTTTTTTTTTTTTGGATAATAGTCATTCTAGCAGGTGTGAGGTGACATTTTAATGTGGTTTAGTATGCACTTCCCAGATGATTAGTGACATGCCCTGGAAGTCACTTTATCCAGAAAGGATGGGGCTTGCAACAATGGAGGGAAGTCCAACAATAGCCACTACCTCCTTGTCTACGCTGTTGTGATCAGAAGCAGCAATCAGAAATCACAGCACAGATACCAGATATTTGGTACCATGACTCCCAAAAGCTTTGTGAAAGTTACTCCAGGATCATGTGCTGGCTACCTCCCACGGGGAGAGAGTATGGGTGGAGATGGGTAGCTGTTACTGTGTTAAGAGCTGAAATTGACTGACATTAACCATATTTATCATCCAAACCTTCTGCTGGAAGTTGCAAGCCTTCAATGAACTTTGGAGTTCCAAAATAATTACATTAGACAGATTAGTCCAGGGTAATTTTTGTGTAGATGGGGAAACAGATTACTATTCCTAGTGCTTCCTACTCTACCACCTTTCCAGAATCCTCCTACTCTGTGTCACTTTTATAGAAAAATTTTTTGAGTATAGTATTCTTCACTGACAGTTTTTTTTCAGCATATTGAATATATGATCCCACTCCCTTCTGACCTGAAAACTTTCTGCTTAAAAACCCACCGGTAGTCTTATAGAGTTCTCTTGTACGTGACAAGTCACTTTTCTCTTGCTGTTTTTAAAGTTCTCTTTGTCTTTGACTTTTAACAACTTGATTACAAATTTGTATGTATTTCTTTGGGTTTATCTTATTTGGTGTCTTTTGAATTTCTTAGATCTGAATGTCCATTTTCTTCCCAAGATTTGGTAAGTTTTCAGCCATTATTTCTTTGAACAATCTTTCTGGTCCTTTCTCTCTCCTCCTTCTAAAATATCCCTAATATGTATGTTGGCCCACTTGATGGTGATCCATAAGTCCCTTAAGTTTCTCCATTTTTTCTTTTAATTCTTATTGTTTCTTTGACTGAATTATTTCTAGTGACCTGTGCTTGGGTTCACTGATCCTTTCTGCTGCATGATCTAGTCTGCTGTTGAACCCCTCCAGTGAATATTTGGCTCATCTATTATGCATTTCTATTTCTATTTGGCACTTTAAAATATGTTTTATCTCTCTGTTGAAATCCTCACTTTTTAAATGCATGTTTTACTGACTCAGTCCACATCTTCATGAAGTTGTAACTCCAGTTCATTAGGGTTAGTCTTTGGAAATGTATCTTAATTCCCTTTTTAAAAATATCTTTGCCCAATTATTTAATTTCCTTGACTCCCTGTGTTGATATCCGAGGGTTATTAGACAAAACAGGCAGCTATCACAGTCTTCATGAACTGGCTTCATACAGGAAAATACACCCCCAACCCCCCATCAGCCCAGCCAGTGATTCTTATGGACATCTACTACCTCTTTACTTCCCCAGGGAGAAGCAGGAGCTATGGCTTTGTTCACTCTTTCTGTGCTGAGCTGGAGAGTGGAGTGGGGTGGTCAAACTATAGCATCTACCAACCCAAATTGGCATATTTGTTCTCTCCTGGGTAGTTAGACTGTACTGCACACATCAGAGCTTCAAGACTGGTGAAACAGATGCCAATAGTTTGAGCAGCCCTGGAGAAGTTGGAGCTCTGGTTGCACAGATCAGCTCTTTTCCTCCCTGGGGGAAGCTGAGGGCTGAAAGTTTTCATCTGCTCACTCTGTGCCAACTGGAGTTGGGGGAGAAGGAAATCAATGTTGTCTACCAACCCAAGCCACCACCTCCATTATCCCCTGGCCAGCTAGACTATACCAGACCCATTAGAGCACCAGGTCTAGCAAGAAAGAAGGCAAACCTCTGGGGACTCCCTTGGAAATGTTGGGGTGCTGAATGTGCAACCAGCTCCTTACCTCGACTGCATGAAGCTGGAAGCTACAGGGTTTCTTCCTGAATGTATGGCCCTGCACTGGGGGCAAGGGTCTCTGACAAGACAGTATCCTGAATCTGTCCACAGGCTTTGCTATGTCTGTTTTTATGCTGTTCCAGAGTGCAGGAGCTTTTTAATTAGTTTTTGATTTCTCACAAAGGGAATTTGTCCATAAATTGTTGCTGAATTTGTGTTTGTAGGTAGAAGGAGGGTCCAGGGCTTCCTACTCTGCCATCTTACTGATGTCATTCTCTTTTGATTCATCTTTCTTGATGTCTGATTCTGTGCCATCCTGTATGTTAGTCATCAGGAAATTAACAACAAACATGTCATGGTTCACCTTCCAAAGCATTTACAGTCAGTTCAGTGGGTTTGGGCTACAATATTGGGTAAGTCAAGCACCCTATGGGAGTAAATTTCAGAGACACCAACACAGATGTAGTCCTCTAGGTATCAGGGAGGATTTTTTTTGCAAGAGTAAGCAGGAAAAAAGGAAAGTGGAACTGGGAGAGAGCACAGATAAAAAAGACAAAGAATAAATATTTTGGCCAGCATGTGAAAAATTCCAGAGGCAATAGAATTTTTTTTTTCCACTGGGAGAACTACAATTGGAATAGTATGGATTATGGACAATAAGGTGGGGAGTGTCACTATGTGAAGCTGGAGAGATGAACAGGTCATATAATGAAAGCGTGGTGATTTATGTGAAGGACTTTATTTGAAGATAAAGGGGGTCCTATTAAAGTGCTTCAAATGGAGGATACATACTCAGATTTTTAAATTATAAAAATGACTTTGGAGACTGGACTAGAGCAGGTAAGACTAGAAGTGGAGACACTAATTGGGAGAATAGCAACAATCCAAAAGAGAGCAGTGGACTGAACCAAAGTAGTGCTAGTGGTGATTGAAAGAAGTGGATGAATACAAGAAGTCAGTAGGGCATTATGGGGTTATTTCATAGGAAATGAAGAGTACTGAATAAAGAATGAGGAAGAGGATGGAACCAGTGAACAATGCGGCTAGTCACCGAGAATAGAAAGATCAAGGTGGGGTAGAAACAGTGAGTTCAGTCTATGGCATGGTGAACTTTAAGCAGCCACATGACAGTCACATAGAGGTGTCCACCAGTCATTATAGGTCTGGTGATCAGGAGAAGGATCTGGGATAGAGATGTATATCTGGGAGTCAATGAGAGTAGACAAGAGTTCTCTTAGAGAAGCGTTAAAGAAAGCTATTATTTCTCTCAGTTTTATTGGGATGCGTAAGTGGTCATGTCATAAAGATACAAGGTTATCATAGTTTCTTTAGGGGAAAGATGTTGAGAGGTTCTGTTATCGGGACCTTTGAGAACAATCACTGGTGAAACTGAAGCAAACCTAAACTACGGAGGAAACCCTTCCTCCTCTTCCAACCCAAACCACCATTATCCCCTGGCCAGCTAGACTATACCAGATCCTGCAAGGCAAATTTCTGGTGATGCAAAGACAGAAAAGAGATTTCTTTTTTCTTTCCAGGTACTATGTGTGCTCAAATGAGTGATTAAGAGTAAAAAAAATCCCTACTGGTACTCTTTCCTTCCACACGTGTAAACATTTGATTTATTATCTGGACACACTCTGATTTAAAGGCTAGAGCAGACATAGCTGGAAGGCTGATAAAGTGGCAGATACTGGCTTAGTGTCCTGTGCTACCTAATGAAATCACTGATGTCAGAGATTACATTTTATATTCATCTCTACACTCAGTTCCTTGACCAGAGCATGACAAAAGGCAGGTGCTCAGGAAGTATTCACTGATTATATTGAGGTTTATTGTCAGAAACCCCTCATATTTTAGCAATTCCTTCCTATTTCTTAGAATGGAATGGAGATATCCAGTAGGGCAAAGTCCAGATCTTAAAGCTCATACTTTTGTGAGGGTGAAGTATTTGGAAGTTTTCTGGCATTTGTGGTCCCAGAATTGCGGAAGAGACCTCTAAATTTTTTTTCAAAATATTTAAGGTTTGGAGGTACATATGAAGGTTTGCTATGTGAAAGGAAAATAGATCTTTGGGCCCCCACATCACTAAGCTAAAGGGAAAAGTCAAGCTGGGAACTGCTTAGGGCCAACCTGCCCCCCATTCTATTCAAAGTCACCCCTCTGCTCACTGAGATAAATGCATATCTTATTGCCTCCTTTGGACAGGCTAATCAGAAACTCAAAAGAATGCAACCATTTGTCTCTTAGCTACCTATGACCTAGCCTCCTCCCTGATTTGAGTTTTCCTGCCTTTGAGTTGTCCCATCTTTCCAGATCGAATCAATGTCCATCTTGAATATGTTGATTGTTGTCTCATGTCTCCCTAGAATGTGTAAAACCAAACTGTGCTCTGACCATCTTGGGCGTATGGTGTCAGGACCTCCTGAGGCTGTGTCACAGGTGTGTGGCCTCAACCTTGGCAAAATAAACTTTTTAAAATTAAATGAGACCTGTCTCAGGTTTTTGGGGTTCACAGTTACATAGATAAACACATGTCACAGGGGTTTGTTTGTTGTTGTTATGTCACTCAGGTATTATATTATGCTTAGCACCTAATAGTTCTCTTTTCTGCTCTTCTCCCTCCTCAAGTAGACCCCAGTATTTGTTGTTTCCTTCTTTGTGTTCACAAGTTCTTATCATTTAGCTCCTACTTATAAGTGAGAACATGCAGTATTTGGTTTTCTCTTGCTGCATTAGTTTGCTAAGGATGATAGCTTCCAGCTCCATCCATGTTCCCTCAAAGGACATAATCTCATTCTTTTTTATGGCTGCATAATATTCCATGGTGTATATCTACCACATTTTCTTTATCCAATTTGTCATTGATGAGCATTTAGGTTGATTCCATGTCTTTGCTCTTGTGAACAGTGCAGCAATGAACATTTGCATGCATGTGTCTTTATGGTGGAATGCTTTATATTCCTCAGGGTATATACCCTGTAATGGGACTGCTGGGTTAAATGGTAGTTCTGCTTTTAGCTCTTTGAGGAATCACCATACTGCTTTCCACAATGGTTGAACTAATTTACACTCCCATCAACAGTGTGTAAAGGTTCCCTTTTCTCCACAACCTCACCAGCATCTGTTATGTTTTGACTTTTTAACAATAGCCGTTCTGACTGGTGTGAGATGGTAGTTCATTGTGGTTTTTATGTGCATTTCTCTAATGATGAGTGATATTGAGCTTTTTTTCATATGTTTGTTGTTTGCATGTATGTCTTCTTTTGAGAAGTGTCTGTTCATGTCCTTTGCTCACTTTTTAATGGGGTTGTTTGTTTTTCTCTTGTAAATATCATTAAGTTTTTTAAAGATGCTGGATATTAGACCTTTGTCAGATGCATAGTTTGCAAATATTTTTCTCCCATTCTGTAGGTTGTCTGTTTACTCTGCTGATAGTTTCTTTTGCAATGCAGAAGCTCTTAAATTTAATTAGATCCCATTTGTCAATTTTTGCTTTTGTTGTGATTTCTTTTGGTGTCTTTGTCGTGAAATCTTTGCCTATTCCTGAGTCCAGTATGCCATTGCCTAGGTTGTCTTTCAGGGTTTTTATAGTTTTGGGTTTCACATTTAAGTCTTTAATCCATCTTGAGATGATTTTTGTATATGGCATAAGGAATGCGTCCATCTTCAATCTTCTGCATATGGCTAGCTGGTTATCCCAGCACCATTTATTGAATAAGGTCTTTCCTCCATTGCTTGTTTTTGTCAGCTTTGTTAAAGATCAAATGGTTGTAGATGTTCAGCCTTATTTCTGGGCTCTCTATTCTGTTCCATTGGTCTGTGTGTCTGTTTTTGTACCAGTAACGTGCTGTTTTGGTCATTGTAGCTTTGTGGTATAGTTTGAAGTCAGGTAATGTGATTCCTCCTCTGCTTAGGCTTGCCTTGGCTATTCAGGCTCTTTTTTGGTTCCATATAAATTTTAAAATATTTTTACTAGTTCTATGAAGAATGTCATTGGTATTTTTATAGGAATAGCATTGAATC
Organism: Homo sapiens; assembly: GCF_000001405.40. Taxonomy (NCBI): domain Eukaryota; kingdom Metazoa; phylum Chordata; class Mammalia; order Primates; family Hominidae; genus Homo; species Homo sapiens. Next base: position 46,511,662 of record NC_000012.12, read on the forward strand.
TGTAAATTGCTTTGGGCACTGTAGACATTTTAATACTATTGATTCTTTCTATCCATGAGAAGGGGATGCTTTTACATTTGCTTGTGTCTTCTCTGATTTATTTGAACAGTGTTTTGTAAGTTTCATTGTAGAGATCTTTCATTTTCCTGGTTAGGTGTATTCCTAGGTATTTTATTTTGTGTGTGTGTATGGCAATTGTGAATGGGATTGCCATTCTGATTTGGTTCTGTTTGGTTGTTGTAGTTGTATAGGAATAATAGTAATTTTTGTACATTGATTTTTTTATCCTGCAACTTTGCTGAAGTTGTTTATCAGTTGAAAGAGCTTTTTGGGCTGAGACTATGGGGCTTTTTAGATATAGAATAATGTCATCTGCAAACAGAGATAGTTTGACTTTCTCTCTTCCTATTTGGATGTCCTTTATTTCTTTCTCTGGCCTGATTACTCTGACTAGGACTCCCAATACTACGTTGAATAGAAGTGGTGAGAGAAGGCATCCTTGTCTTGCGCCAGTTTTCAAGGTGAACCCTTCCACCTTATGTTTATTTTGTATAATGTTGGTTGTGGGTTTGTCATAGATGGCTCTTATTATTTTGAGGTTTGGTCCTTCAATACCTAGTTTGTTGAGAGTTTTTTTAACATGAAGGGATGTTAGATTTTATCAAAAGCCTTTTCTGCATATATTGAGATAATCATGTGGTTTTTGTCTTTAGTTCTGTTTATGTGATGGATCACATTTATTGATTTGTGTGTCAAACCCACCTTCCATCCTGGGGATTAAGCCTACTTGATTGTGGTGAATTAGCTTTTTGATGTGCTGCTGGATTTGGTTTGCAAGTGTTTTATTGAGAATTTTTGCACTGATGTTCATCAAGGGTACTGACCTGAAGTTTTCTTTATTTGTTGTGTTCTGCTGGGTTTTGGTATCAAATGATGCTGGCCTCATAGAAATAGTTGCAGAGAAGTTCCTTCTCCTCAATTTTTTGGAATGGTTTCTGTAGGAATAGTACCAGCTCTTCCTTGTACACCTTATAGAAATCGGCTGTGAATCTATCAGGTCCTGGGCTTTTTTTTTTGTTGGTAGGCTATTACTGATTCAATTTCAGAGCTCATTATTGGTCTGTTCAGGGAATCAATTTCTTCCTGGCTCAGTCTTGGGAGGGTGTATGTGTTCAGGAATTTATCCATCTCTTCTAGGTTTTCTAGTTTGTGTGTTTAGAAATGTTCATAGTAGTTTCTGATGATTGTTTGCATTTCTGTGGGGTCAGTTGTAACATTTGCTTCATTACTTCTAATTGTGTTTATTTGAATCTTCTCTCTTTTCTTCTTAAGTAGGCTAGGTAGTGGCCTATTTTATTGATTTTTTTTCAAAAAAACAACTCCTGGATTTGTTGATCTTTTGAATATTTTTCTGTCTTGATTTCCTCCAGTTCAACTCTGATTTTTGTTATTTCTCATCTTCTGCTAGCTTTGGGGTTAATTTGTTCTCGCTTCTTTGATTCTTTCAGTTGTTAAGTTGTTAATTTGAGATTTTTTTTTTAGCTTTTTGATGTGGGCATTTAGTGCTATAAATTTCTCTCTTAACCCTGCCTTAGCTGTGTCCCAGAGATTCTGATATGTTGTATCTTTGTTCTCATTATTTTAAAAGAGCTTATTGATTTCTGCCTTAACTTCATTATTTACCCAGAAGTCATTCAGTAGCACGTTGTTTAATTTCCATGTAATTGTATGATTTTGAGCAATTTTCAGTGTGTTGACTTGTATTTTTATTGCACTGTGGTCTGAGAATGTGTTTGGTATGATTTTGGTTCTATTTGTTGAGGATTGTTTTATGTCCAATTATGTGGTTGACTTTAAAGTATGTGTCATGTGGTGATGAGATAAATGTATATTCTGTTGTTTTGGGTAGAACCTTCTGTAAAGGTCTATTGGATCCGTTTGGTCCAATGCTGAGTTACCATCCTGAATGTCTTTGTTAATTTTCTGCCTGGATGTTCCATCTAATGCTGTCAGTGGACTGCTGAAGTCTCCCACTATTACTGTGTGGGAGCCTATGTCTCTTTGTAGGTCTCTAAGAGCTTGCTTTATAAAACTGGGTGCTCCTGTGTTGGGTGCATATATATTTAGGATAGTTAGGCCTTCTTGTCGAATTGAAACCTTTATCATTATGTAATGCCCTTCCTTGTCTTTTTTGATCTTTGTGATCTGAAATGAGTTTTGTCTGAAAGTAAGATTGCAACCCCTGCTTTTTTCTGTTTTTCATTTGCTCGGTAGATTTTTCTCCATCCCTTTATTTTGTCATTACATGTGAGATGGGTCTCTTGAAGACAGCATACATACCATAGATGTTTCTTTTTTATCCAGTTTCTCACTCTATGCCTGTTAAGTGGGGCATTTAGCTTGTTTACTTTCCAGGTTCATATTAATATGTGTGGATTTGATCCTGTCATTGTGCTGTTAGCTGGTTATTATGTTGGCTTACTGTGTGGCTGCTTTACAGTGACACTGGTCTGTGTGTTTACATGTATTTTTGGATTAGCTGGTAGTGATCTTTCCTTTTTATATTTAGTGCTTCTCTCAAGATCTCTTGTAAGACAGATCTGGTGGTAATGAAGTCCTTCAACATTTTCTTATCTGAAAAGGATCTTATTTCTCCATCACTTAGGGAGTTTAGTTTGGCTGCATATGAAGTTCTTGGTTGAAGATTTTTTTCTTTAAGAATGTTAAATATAGGCCCTCAATCTCTCTGGCTTGTAGGGTTTCAGCTGAGAGGTCCACTGTTAGCCTGATGGGGATCCCTTTGTAGGTAACCTGCCCTTTCTCTCTAGCTGCCTTTAACAGTCTTTCATTTTGACCTTTGAAAATCTAACAATTATGTGTCTTGGGAATGATCTTCTTGTGTAGAATCTTGCAGGAGTTCTCTGTATTTCCTGAATTTGACTGTTGGCCTCTTTAGCAAGGTTGGGGAAATTTTCATGGATGATATCCTGAAATATGTTTTCCAAGTTGTTTGCTTTCTCCTCCTCCCTTTCAGGGATGCCATTGATTTGTGGATTTTGCCTCTTTATATAATCTCATACTTTTTTGGAGGTTTTGTTCATTCCTTTTTAGTTTTTTTTTTTTCCTTATTTTTGACTGTCTTGTTTCAGAAAGCCAGTCTTCAAGTTCTGAGATTCTTCCCTTAGCTTGGTTTATTCTGCTGTTAATACTTGTGATTGAATTGTGAATGTCTTGTATTGTGTTATTTAGCTCTTTCAGACTCATTAGGTTCTTTTCTTATACTGGCTGTTTTATCCTTCAACTTCTGTATCACTTTAATGTGATTCTTATTTTCCTTGGATTGGGTTTTGCCATCCTCCTGAATCTTGATGATCTTCATTCCTATCCATATTCTGAATTCTATTTCTGTCATTCCAGCAAGTTCGAGCTTGCTTGGTTAAGAGCTCTTGTTGGAGAACTGGTGCTGTTATTTGGAGGATGTAGGACGCTCTGGCCATTTGAGTTACTAGAGTTCTTGCATTGATTCTTTCTCATCTCTGCATGTGGGTGTTCCTTTAACTGTAGTGTAGATGAATACAGTCAAATAGACTTCTTTTCTGGATGTTTTCACTAGGCCAAGGCTTTGTGAGGGTCTTTATTTGAAGCTGACTTCTTGTCTCTGGTTTCAGAAGGGGTTATGTTAGTGAGATATTTTTGGTGTTGAAGCTTTGGAGTGTGATCCAGAAGGTGACACTTAGGCCTATTGGTCAGTTGGTAGACTCTTGCTTGGTTGGGTGGTTTCCCTATGTTTCCTCACAGTTGGAGCTGTTTTACCTCTTAGTGCTCTGAAAGTGTGGATACCTCTCCACCCTTTAGTTCTGGCTGTAGTTCGTGACTTGGCACTTCTGGGCTGCTCACTGCAGCTCTGGGGCAATCTCAGTGTTTATATTCCTTCCTCAGCTTAGAGGCCATAGAGGAAGAGATCTTAGTGGTGGTGTGGCCAAGGGTCATTTTATTGACTCCTGGGGGCTCCACCCCAGGAAGATGCAGGTTAGCAATCACTCAGTACAGTCAGCCCAAGATGGAGGGTCTGTGCTGTGAGCCCAAGCCAGAGATTCCCTGTCTGGTGACTAGCCATGGAGGGAGGATGGTGTGGGACCCGTGGGAGACAGACTGGCCTCTCCTTGGATTAACTGCAGCTTGTTGGAGGTGTGGATAAGGCACTTAGGGTCTTTCCTCCTTTATTAGTCTGAGGGTAGCAAGGGCAGTTCTCTACTGAGAGGCTTTCAGTTGCTCCTGGAGGGTCTGTCCAGGGAGTTGCTGAGTTGGTGCTGGCTTGATTAGCTCTGACAGGAGGTGGCTGGAGGCCCAGGCCTGGAGGACCTGCATAGTGAAGAGATATGGAAACAGTCACCCATGTAACAGTCTGGCCACTTTTCCATAGGGCTGCTATGGTATGCTTCAGGCCTGCTCCAGTTCCTAGTCACCTTGGATTTCGCAAAACCTAGAGGTGTCACCAATGAAGCCTGTGAAACAGCAAAGATGGTAGCCTGTCCCTTCCCCTGGAAGCTTTATCCCAGGGAGGTACGAACCTGTTGTCAGCCCAAAGACACTTGTAGGAAGTGGCTGGGGACCCTGGTTGAGAGGTCTCACCTTGTGAGGAGGAACAGGATTGGGACCCACTTAAAAAAGCAGTCTGGCCTTGTTTTGATAGAATAGCTGCATTGTGCTGAGGGTTCACTTCAGCCCTTGGTCACCTCAGGTACTCTGAAGCCCAAAGGCTGGAACAGTTAAGTTGCCCAAACAGCAAAGATAACAGCCTGCCCCTCCCTCTGGGAGCACCCTCCCAGGGGGAATTCACAGTTCTTTTGGCTGGAGAGCTCAGGTGGGAGTGGCTGGAGGTCCTGATTGGGAGGCCCCACTCGTGAGGAGGAACAGGATCGGGCACCTGCTTAAAGCAGCAGACTGGCCATGTTTTGGTAGAGCAGCTGTGCTGTGCTAGGGGATCTCTTCTGCCCTGGATTGGCTCAGACTTTCCAAAACCTGAAGGCTGGAACGACTAAGGCACTCAAACAGCAAAGATGGCAGCCCACTCCTCCCCAAGAAGCTCCTTCTTAGGGAGGTGCAATGCTGCTGCTGGTAGCCGGCTGGAATTTCAAGCCAGTGGGTCTTAGCTTGTGAGGTGGTGAGGATGTGGGGCCTGTGGACTGTTCCTGCTCAGCCCCCTGGATTCAGCCTCTTTCCTAAGGGTAGGTACAGGAATCTAACCTCCGATTTTGCCAGAGCTGCAGCTACTTTTGCCAGAAAGCCCAAGCACCTAAACCTCCACGTTCTCCACACATGCCTGAGTGGCTGTTCTGGTGAGAATCCAGATGGCTCTGTCAGACTGAAGACTGAAGGCCCTGGTGGTGTGGGTTCACAGGGAGATCTCCTGAGCCAAGGGTTGCAAAGATCTGTTGGAGAAGCGATCCCAGGGTCACTCATTCACTCACTGCTTTCTAGGACTGGGGAGGATCCCCTGGCTCTGTGCTGTTCCCCAGTGGGCCGTTGTTCAGTGTCCTGCTTTTCTTTGTTTTCTGTGTGTCAGGTTGTTTCCTTGGTTAATCCTAATGCGAGTACTTGCATGTTTCAGTTGAAGGTATTGTTTTTACTCGCCCCTCTATTCCTCTCCGTGAGAGCCACACATGCTAGCTGCTTCTAGTTGGCCATCTTGGCCACTCCACCCCCACTACATTTCTATGTAGCTTAAGCCTAGTTTTCAATAGGGCTTAATGACATGCCTTGGAGAGTTCCTCTCATCAGTTTTGTTTCCACTACCTCTGGGTTGGTTTCATTTTCAGGTGATCTTTCTCTCCTGGTTGCAATATAGTTACTAGAAACCATAAAAGCCTCCCAAGCTGAAATGCTGCAGACAAAATTTGAGAGTCTTTGGTGTGGCATCCCCCACTAAAGTCTTACTGCCTCTAACTGGATTATTTGAGTATCCATAAAACTATCATTATGATCAAGAAAATGTGAAATATTAATTAGATTAGACCTGGTTTTATTCTCTACTCTAAGGTTAAAGTATGAACTAGTTTGGAAGAGGGATTACTTCAAGGGGGACCAGTAGAGGGGGCAGTGTATGACAAGTGGCAAAAACAGTTGATGGCATGTGATTATTTTTCCCTCTGCATGCATGGCAAACATGAGAATCAATTATAGTACTTTTTTTCTCATTGTACCTGGACATGGCTTCAGCAACTTTGTCAACGTAGGGCTTTAGTCAGCCACTAACAATCCACAGGAGTTGGCAACCAAGATAAACATTTTATACCATCACTAGCCTAAAAGCAGAAAATACATGGAAATCCTTAAAGGAAGGCATGCTTTTACTCACCAGTAAATCAAGGAAAATGCACACTAAAAGAATTCTATAGTAAGACCAAAATTGATCATTGATGAATGGAGCATTTTTAGTTACTCCTTCCTTTGTGGGGTGTGTGTGTGTGTGTGTGTGTGTGTGTGTGTGTGAGAGAGAGAGAGAGTTTATTATGAAATATTTTGTTTATAGTTTCTGAAAAACTCTCTGAAGTTGTGAGACAGTGATAAATTTGTTCTTTTCAGGGTGGTCATTAAAAGCATTGGAAAACATTCTGTGATTTCAGTGGCATAATGTGACCAAAATAACTCTTTATTTTTCTACAAGAAAAATGCAAAACATAAGCAACTGAAATCAGATGTAAGCAGATTGGCTTCCTTTGAGGGCCCAGTGGTCAGAATTTTAGAAATTCTTAGCCTGAACCCTGACTTTGTGTTACTGGCACCCAGGACTAGCATGTAGATAGCCACCCATGTGACCAGGGGAGTCCCAGGAGGCCCATTCCTTCCTGTGCCATCCTCCCAAATGCTCCCAGCATTTGCTAACTTAGGCCAGAAATTCCAGAATTAAATATTTATTTTTGTGACTTGAAAACTTTGCTTCTTTGTTCTCCTTTTAAAATGACCCTTAGAAGGACCCTATGAAGAATGGACCATTAAGTTCTACTGGCCCTTTACAACACTATCAGGAGTGTCAATTTGTCTTTTGAAGGCAGGTTTTATTATATGAGAGGTGGGAAAAATATTGGGGGATGGGGTACCAAAAAGGGACAAAAGTGTCCAGAAAGAGGAGGCTGAGAAAGCCAAAGACAGATGTGTTCTCTCACTTTGTTGTAATGCCTTAGCTGCAGCCTTGGGGATGTGATTCGAGAACCTCCAAATTTCACTGTGTTTATTCTGTCCATCCATTCCACGTTAATTTCACAACATTGTTTACTTGCTATGCTGAAGGCACTTACAGCAATACAGGGACATAGTTTCTGACTGAAGAATCCTAATTACTTAATCACATGTGGAAAAATAGTAATGTCGCTCATTTTGTGTAGTGTTTCAAAAGTTTTCAAGTTAATGATCCTAAAATTGCTATGTGATTATTTGTACCCTCCAGTCTAGAAAAGTATGTTATTTTCTCAATCACAAAATGTACTTTCTCAGTGTTCTTTTGGGGTTTAGCAAGTAAGTCAACATGATAATACTGAAACATTTCACTTTGTCAATTCTGTAGTATATTTATACACTGTTCTCAGTCATCTTTTCTTTTCTTTCTCTTCTTTCCTCTTTTCTTCTTTTCTTTCCTCTCCTCTTCTCTCTCTTTTGAACTCCCTCTGTCCTCTTTCCTCTTCTCCCTCACTCCTCTTCTGTATTACACCCTTTCTCTTCTTTCTTCTCTATAACCATCTCTCTGCCTCTCTTTCTATAACCCCTGTCTCTTTCCTTCTCCTTCTTTCCCTCTCTCTAAACCTGCCTCTTTTTCTTTCTTCTCCTCCCCCATCACCCTGTCTTTCTCCTTTGTTGCCTCTTTTCTGCTTTTGGAATTTGACCTCATTTGCTCCCAGTGCACACAGACTTTTGTGTGGTGAGGAAAAGGAGGAGTTTGACCCCAGGTAGCTGTAAGTTTACACCAGCCCACCCTTCATCCTACAGAGCATGAAAAGAATGCCACTTTTTAAATGTCCATCTATAAGTTAACTCAATTAGCTGGCTTGAGTTGTGTCTACTTTATTGGGTCAGTCACGTAGACCAGGGGGATGAGTGCCATGATGGAGCCCATCCTGGTTGTGGGCCCATCCTGGCCAACCATAGTTACTGTGATTGGCAATTCCACTAGAACTAACTGGGGATAGGGAGTGTAGTCTCTGCCCAAAGTGGGAGTGTTATTATCAGAAGAAATTGGGAAAGAGACACTGAACACAAAAAAGAAAAACAAAACAAAAACAAAATAAAAGGCATTATCTGTCTCCCCACCCCTATGTCCAGAATGCAATTTATACATCATAGGAACTAACAACGTCACAGGTAATTTTGTCTCTAAAAAATTCATGAAATACAAGCTAAAGGCTATGAATATTTATTTTCCTGCAGTCCTAAGCTATTCTCTCCTGTTGAATGTGGTAGCTAATATGTTCTTTAACACCTAGTGACATTCACTCTAATATAAAGAACAGTCCGTTACCATATTAAAAAGCAGCTTGTGAAAGCATCACAAAACATTTAAAGACCTCTAGAATAAACTAAGGGATCAACTCAGTTCAGCCCAAATATTTGTTGAGTGTATATTTTGTCCTAACATTACCAGATTAAATTATAAATATGTCAGGAAGAAAATAATAAAATGAATAAATGATACACATTTGAAAAGGAAGAGATTTGCTAAATGTATCTACAGCGTAAGTCCTTAGACTTCGGGTCCAATGCTGAGGAGTGGGAGAGTGGACATCCTCAGAAGGGATGAGCTCTGCACACCCTCCCTTGGTGTCTGAAGGAGGTGGTGGTGGTACCCCTTGGCCACCATCTTATATTCTTCCTCCTAGCCCTTCATATGTACCATGGTAACAAGACCTTACCCTCTCGTAGTTATCACAGGGCTGTTCAGCCAATAAAATGCTTTTCTGTGCACTGTCTCACTTGGTTCCACATCACTGCCCTGTGAGGGGGGCAGGAGAATCAGCATCAGACCTAGTGAAAGAAGGACATCCAGGGAAGTAAAGTGGCCTGTCCAATGTCACACGGATTATCAGTGAGAGAGCTAGGACTCCAATTGAACTTTTCTTAGTGCAAGATATGAATTTCGCCCACAATATGACTATAAAGCTCTCTTTCTCAGGAGAGGAATGGTGGAGAACCACGTCTTCCTTCCTCGAGTGCCCTTCCTCCCTAACTTACACTGGAGTGGTCTTATCAGAACTCTCTTTCACTGGTTCCTGATCTTCCCTGGCCTTCCACGTGCAGGTATCATTTAAGGCAGTGGGGCTCAAAGCTCATTAATTGTCACAATTCCCCTGGTGAACTTTAATACCTCTCCCAAACCCTCTTCACCTCTAATAATGGCAGAATCCTGGTCCCAACCCCTTCTTGACTTTGGCTAATATTTTGACCCTGTTGCAGGTCAGGATCTCCAGAAGGCAGACTCTGAGACATAGTTAGGACTGCAATAGGTTTATTGAGAAGTGATTGCGGTGAAAGAAAAAGAGCAGGATTGGGCACAGGAGCCATCAAATGGCATGCAGATCTGATAAAGTTCCTGCCAGTCCAGTGAAGAGTCCTGTAGCAGAGAGCCTGTTAGAGGAGCACTCATTGGGTGTAAATGGCCAGGTCCTGTACTACTGCCTTGCTCAGTTACTGTCTGGGCAAGAGTGTGACCTTGAGAAGAGTGTGACCTTGGCTTGCAAGCTGAAGAGGCTAACAGCTGGAGGTTGTCTGTTCCCCACAGCCCTGACAGATGGGCAGTGACTCTTCTCTTAAAAGCAGGTCTGAGCTGTACCTCTCCATCCATGCCACAGACGTCTTTTAGTACATTGATTAGTGTTGGTTAATTGTTTTATGTTTTTAGGTCTTACTCAGTAACTACAGTAAAACCTTAAGAGTCAGGACCATTAAAAAAACTCATTCTGCAAAGCAGCGCAGTAGATTTCCTATTAGGTTATAGGTTGAATAGGAGAAAAAAAATAATTGAGTGCCTCTGGAAAAAAAAAGATGTTGATCTTCAAAACATCCACAGAAGAGAGATAAATATTACCTCTCTTGGTAACTTGACATGTTGCAACTAAGAACAAATGATACACATGAGCTTTATTTAAAATTTAGTTAAGCTTCAGGCTTTTTGGTCTGTTAGATGGCAAATATTTAATGCACTAGTGGAAACAAATTCTTAAGGTTTATACTTTGGAAGATGAATAGGTCTAAGTCAGTCACAACTCTCAGATTTAGATTTGATTGACTAACAGGTACAACCTTGCAAAAGAAGCTGGCTGTGTTCTTGGGTGATGGGCTGGTCGTGATGCAGGTTACCAGCCCTTAGGCTTTTCTTTGTTTCCATGAGGGCTGCCACAGAACTGGCCCTAAACACTTCTGTAGCACTCTCAAGCTCAGGGAATGAATTCAGGGTCTGATGAGTGCCATCAGAAATACATCTTGCAGGAAGAGATAGTAATTGGAATAGTTGTGAATCTAGCCAGATACTTTGTATCATCCTTGTGCAGTATTACCACATGTTAGATCTTCCTGTCGTTATTTAGAAGTAACAGCTAAAGCAATCATTCCTACACACTTCATTTTGACAGTGCAAAAGCTTTAAAATATGTTTCCCTGATGGCAAAATATGCTTGATAACCAGAGAGAACTATCCTTTAAAAAGCAGTTTTTAGTGCACAAACAGCTGTCTTCCATTTTTGGCATACAAAGGGAACAACTAAAATGACTAATCTCACTAAGTATTACAATAAAAGTGCTGACAAAACCTTAACTATATACTTCACATCTTTAGTAGCCCTGTAATTACAGCTCCAGTTTAAAAAAAAAAAACAACAAAACAAAACCACAACAACTTCTAGAGCACATTTAATTGCTATTTGCACTTATCATTGTCTTTCTTCCCATAGGAGGGTTATACACTGACCCCCAATATCAGTCATTTATCTGTCCCGGAAAGGTAAATGTGTTATTGAATACGACATCTTTTTTTAATGTCATTTCTATTATCCTAGCAGATACTCTGGAGGATAACTAATAGTGCTTGATCAGAATTGGGGCTTGGACAACTTAGTAAATATCATGCTGCCATCTATACTTTATTAACTGTCAACCTGCATTGATTTTTATCTTTTCCTGTACAAATAAGTTTTGTGAATTGTGTATCAGTGAAGCAGAAGCCTAACAATAATCTCCAGGACATTATATTTAGAAAATGTTCATTTAAAAATATGTTTAGGGTTACCAAGGGATAAATAAAGGAGATTTTTTTTTTAAATCAAGTTTACCTCTGTATTACTTAATATATTTAGGAATTGTTCCTCAAAAAATCATCAGGGCTGTAGGTAAGTTTGCAGTCACATCTGCCTTTCCTAACATGTTTTCTTTTTTTCTTTTCTTGCTTTCTTTCTTGCTTTTTTTTTTTTTTTTTTTTTTTAGGTGGAGTATGTTGCCCAGGCTGGAGTGCAGTGGCGTGATCTCTGCTCACTGCAACTTCTGCCTCCCAGGTTCAAGTGATTCTCGTGCCTCAGCCTCCTGAGTAGCTGAGATTACAGGAGCATGCCACAGTGTCCAGCTAATTTTTGTATTTTTAGTAGAGAGGGGGTTTCACCATGTTGGCCAGGCTGGTCTTGAACTCCTGACCTCAGGTAATCCGCTTGCCTCGGCCTCCCAAAGTGTTGGGATTACAGGCGTGAGCCACCGCGCCTGGCTTCCTAACATGTTTTCATTTTCACATTTCCTCTTGGAATCCTGTAATGAGCTGGAGATGGGAAAAGGGATTTATGCTTCTGATCTTTTTTGAGACCCACTGGTGGGAGAGTAGGTGTTGTGACCAGTGTCTGTGGTGGCCTCTATAATTCTTAGTCCCACCTTGGACATCCTTGTTGGTTTACGGCATTAGGATGTTGGCCCCTCCCAGGAGGGCCTGTGGAGCCTATAGCCACATTCCTGCAGGTTGCAGCTGCAATGCTTAATCCTGCCAGTCTGACTGTACAAAGGACAACATCCTAAGGATAGTTAGGAGCACAGAGTCAGATGCTGGGTCTCCCACTTAGAAAGTGCATGACCTTGGGCAATTTTGCATAGCTTTTCTAATTCTTAGTTTTCTTACATGTATAACAGGGATACTACTACTACATCGCTATGAGAAAAAATGAGATAATATGTATGAAGCTCTTAGCACACTGCCTGGCATAATGAAAGCATTCAGAAAGTGATGGCTATATTTATTATTTTGACTAACAGGAGACTCAGACTACAATGCAGCACGTCCGGAAAAATGTTTAGACACAGGAAGCTATTCTGGAGAAACTGCTTACATTAAGATTCTTTTGACTGTAAAGAAACGAAACCTTGTTTGAACTAGCTTCCGCCAGAAGGAGACTGAATGAAAGTCATAGGGCAAAGATGAAAGGTAGAGTAAGCCTCACAGGGTGGGGCTGGGAGCTAGAAGGCACAGCTGGGCTACTCTATCTTTTCATATCATCGTGGCCTTCCCATCTCTGCCTCTGTCTATGCTTCTGTTCCCTCCCGCCCCGTCTTGACCAAATTCCTCTGCTTACTCACCTTGCGTATGACTCCAGTGGCCTTCCCGACAGCACTGATAGCAACTGGCTTGTGTGTGTCTTGATACACAATTTGTGAGGGTCTGATTGGCCCAGCTCATCTGTTTGAGCTGGACCACATGAGTCATAAGCCACTGTCTAGCTAACGGATTGAGTTCTCTTTGGTCAGTTGTTCATCATGATCCAGTCATGGCCCATGCAGTTAAGATCATATGGGAGGATAGAGCTGCCTCTTTCAGACCAGTGGGCAGAGCAGGTTTTCTTGAAAAGATTAGGAATATCTAGTACAGTTTTCCTGAGAGACTTGACCACCCTGCTGCTGGCAGTTTTGGTGATTTAGTCCTAATGACAAGGACCCAATTATGGAGAAGTAGAGAAGTCCTAAAAACTGGTGGTGTCTCTACTTGTCTCCCCAAATGTGGCTGCTGTCAAGGTAATTGCTCAGTGAAGAAGTGTTTCTCCATCTGTGCCTTTCAGGGCAGAAGGTCAGAATGGGAAGGACTATGCCAGATTTTTCCAAGCATAGGAAAGAGCAAGTAAAGAGACTGGGGATGGAGATGGGAGGAGGCTAGGGGTAGGAGATAGTTCATGTGGGTAAGGATGCTAAATCAGTGTGGCTAGCTTGTTGAGGAACTGTGACTCCTCAGGGAGGTCAGAGAAAAGCAGGCGTGGGAAGTCCTTTAGGCTCAGGGAAGTGGCTGACCCAAGAGGGGGAATACATTCTAAATTCCTCTGGCACAGAGCCCCAGGGGCCTGGTGTTTCTCTCTGTTCTGACAAGGGAGGTGGCTGTTTGCCTGGCGGAGCTGCTCACTGCAAGCTGCAGCTGTGCCTCATTCTCCCATGTGACATTGAGTTCTCTGGAGAGCTGGACCAGGGCAGCTGGAACAGGTTAGTAAAGACAAGGATTCCCCAGATGTGTAAATCCTAAACCAGACAAGGAGTTCTTCATGTTCTCCCCAAGGAGGAATGGTTTGGAGTCACTGACTACAGTTAAAATGCAAAAGAAGGTCTGTTGCTGTGGAGATATCTGGAATAGGGCCTAGCCCTTGAAGTAATTGATAAACACCTGAAGTCCTCGCTCCTGGTCTTGCCCAAAAGTCTTCACATTTTCACTTTGGTTGGGGGAGGTGGTAGCTTGATTATGACAAAGTCTCCTGGTCTCATTTAGTTGCCTTTTAGCAAATAATGTGACCCATTGTGCCAAGTGGATGGGAAGGGAGCTTCTCTTATTCCCTGGGCAGTAACCAAATGGTCTTAGACAAGAGAACCAGCAATTCAGGTTTTGGATCAGTGCTTTTGTGCCCCTTACAGAGAAGGGAGAGGGTGATGGACAGCAACATGGCGAGGAGGGGAAGTCCACAGAAAGCAGTCGCCAGCAGATTGAAGCAATGATAATTAAAGTAACAACAATAAGAGGTACCATTTATTTAGCACCTACCATTAGGCCTTTGCACACATTTATTTCTCCACAAGCCCTGCAAATTAGCTATTAAAATATCTGTTGTACAGATGAAGGAACTTAAAGTGATTAAATAACTTGCCCAAATCCAGACAGTGGCTAAATTGGAGTCTGAGACTCAGTCTATCTGACACCAATGTCCATGGAAGTTCTGCTACCATTCGCTGATTCTCCAGATTGAGATGCTAAAAATAATAAAGAGGATACAAACAATTAAAAAATGAAAGAAGTTTCACTTAGAGGTCTGGATGAGAGAAAGAAAGAAGACGAGACACTAAGCCAGAATGGGAAGAGAGAGGCACAGGAAGGGCAGCCATGGTCCGGGATTTGAGGATAGCATAGATTCACTGAAAAGTTCAGGTCGTCTGGGTTGTCTGGGCATGTGGGTTTAGGACCCCTTTGCTAGGGAAAAGAATAAAGCTCAGTTGGAGGGTGCCAAGAAAAGGTGGAAAATAAATCCATATACTTTTCCCAGGATTGTCTACATTCCAGAAAAGTTGAAAAGGAGTGTTCTTTAGAGTCCAAGAAGAAAAATCAGCAAGAAGAAAAATGCCTTTGGGCATTTTTTTTTTTCAAAACTAAAAAGCAATGTATTTATCTTTGCCAGCATTCAAGTAACTAGAAGTATTCTGGATGGGGCCACATTTCAAAAAGCTCTGAGTAGGCGCACAGGTGCAATGCCAAATGCAACAGCTGAGAGGCCACCTCCCCACCCCGCTGGCCCTACCCCCTGCTCTGTCCCCTCCAGAGTAGCAATGCTAACAGCTGACCTACCGAAACATGCAAATCTAATGTTACATGACAGGGACTAATCCATGTGTGAACTTCTGAAAAGTGAACTCTTCTCTTTTGGGCACTTCAGATTTTCATTGGAAAAATCATATTGTGTTGAGAAAAATTTCTAGAGACATCTTTGTGTTCTGCTAATTAAGTAGAAAAGTCCTAAATTTCTCTATTTGTCAATCTTTATGAAGGTTTCCCCAGAATATAAGTCTCTCCATTGGGAATACAATAAGTGAGGAGAGCTCAGGGACTGAAGTTTTCATCATAAAGAGTGATGTCTTACTACAAAGAGTGTCAGCAAAATCTTAAAACACGTTGGTTTATTTTTAATGGCAAGACAGTCTCTATATATGATCATGACGCCTCCAACTGTATGAATTGCTACACAATGTGCCATGTTCCTTTGTGACTCCAGGGATGAGCTTATTGAGACATGGAGCAGTGTACAATGTGAGGCACATCATTTTCTAAACTGTATTCTGTAAAAACTACTCCCAAGATAAGTTCTTTGAAAAGAGGGTATCATAGTTAAATCAAATTGAGAATTGCTGCATATAAAAAGATAATCTCTTGCAGGTTCATGATATGCCCTCTTTTCCACAGAGCCTAGACCAGGTCTCAGAATTCTTTCAACGTAGTGCTCTAGTAAGCTCTACTAATTGACTGGTTTTGGTAGAGGAATGGAAACTACTTACCGTCCTTTTTCTACTCTGGCCTAGTAAGTTTAGAAGCACTTAAAAATTGAATGAGGGCAAAATCAGGGGCTGCTCTGTGGCTTAGGACACCAGGGAAGCTATAAAAGAGAGTGCTAGCCCTTTTGTCTAAAGTCTTGTGTGGGAGAGTATTATTTACCAACTGAATCTATAATAGTAGAAGTTTTGTTCTGATAATGGGTTAGATAACAAAATGCCTTTGGGTGTTCCTGGGTACAGAGAGAGCTGGGCTTCTTAGCAAAAGCAGTTAACCAGGAGACAGGTAGACAACCCAGCAGGTAGTACTGCTACAGAATGCAATGTATGAATACAACTTTTCTCCAGGAATTGTATGGAATACTGCCACATCAACACACTAAGGAAGAAAAATTGCATAATTATGTCAATAGATTCATAAAAAGCATTTGACAAAATCCAACAGCCATTCATGATAAAAACTCTCATAAAACTAGGAAGAGAAGGAGAACTTCCTCAACTTGATAAAAAATACCTGCAAAATCCCTACAGCTAATGCCATACTTCATGCTGAGAAACTTAAGCTTTCCCACTGAGATCAAGAACAAGGCACGGATATTCCTTCTCACCACTGCTTTTCTCAATATCATATTTGAAGTCCTGGCTAATGCAATAAAAGAAGAAAATGAAATAAAAGATATATGGATTGATCAGGAATAAATAAAAGATTGCTCACAGATGATATGATTGTCTGTGAAGGAAATCTGAAAGAATCAGCAAAAAATAAAAATAAAAATAAAAAAAATCCTGGAACTGAGTGATGATAGTAAGGTTGCATGATGCAAGCTTAATATTCAAAAGTCAATTGCTTTCGTATATACTAGCAATAAACAGATGGAATTTAAAATAAAAACACAATACTATTTACATTCGCATGCAAGGAAATGAAATACTTAGATATAAATCTAACAAAATATGAACAAAAGCTCTATGAAGAAAACTAAAACTCTGGTGAAAGAAATCACAGAAGAACTAAATAAGTGGAGAGAGATTCCATGTTCATATAGAGAGCCCAGAAATAGACCCACATAATACAGTCAACCAATCTTTGACAAGAGCAAAGGCAATACAGTAGAGCAAAGATAGTCTTTTCAACAAATGATGCTGGAACCATGAACATCAATATGCAAAAAAAAAAAAAAATGAATCTAGACACAGTTCTTACACCCTTCACAAAATAAACTCAAAAGAGATCACAGACCTAAAAGTAAAATGCAAAACTCTAAAACTCCTAGAAGATTAACACAGGAGGCAATCTACATGACCTTGGGTTTGGCAACAATTTTTTTTTTTATATATACACCACCAATGGCATGATCTATAAATGAAGGAATTGGTAAGCTGGATTTTAGTAAAATTAAAAACTTCTGCACTGCTAAGAAAATGAGAAGACAAGTCACAGACTGGGAGAAAATATTTGCAAAATACATCTTTGATAAAGTACTGTTATTCAAAATATACAGATATATTTTAAACTCAGCAATAAAAAACAAACACCTCAGCTAAAAAATGGGCCAAAGAACTTAACAGACACCTCATCAAAGAAGATATACAGATGGCAAATATGCATGTGAAGTGAGGCAGCACATCATATGTCATCAGAGAAATGCAAGTTAAAACAACAGATACCACTACACGCTTATTTAAATGTTCGAAATCCAGAACACTGACAACACCAAATGCTGGTAAGGATGTGGAGCAACAGGAACTCTCATTCATTGCTGGTGGGAACACAAAATGGTGCAGCCACTTTGGAGGGCAGTTTGGCAGTTTCTTAGTAAACAAAACATACTTTTACTATACAATCTGGCAGTCACTGTCCTTGGTATTTGCCCAAAGTAGTTGAAAATTTATGTCCACACAAAACTCTGCATAGAGATGTTTGTAGAAGGTTCATTCATAATTGCCAACACTTGGAAGCAACCAAGATATCTTTTAGTCGGTGAATAGGTAAATAAAATGTGGTACATCTAGACAATGCAATATTGTTGAGTGCTAAGATGAAATGAGCTATCAAACCATGAAAAGACATGGAGGAATCTTAGATGCATATTACCAAATGAAAGAAGCCAATCTGAAAAGGCTACATACTGTATGATTCTAACTATATGGCATTCTGTAAAAGGCAAAACTATGGAGATAGTAATACGATCAGTGGTTTCAAGGGGTTAGTGGGGAGCATGGGATGAATAGACAGAAAAGAGAGGATTTTTAGGGCAGTGAAACTACTCTGTATGTTGCTATCATAATGAATTCATATCATACATTTTTCAAAACCCATAGAATGTATAGGACCAAGGATAAACCCTAATATAAACTATGGACCTTGGGTGACAATGTAGGTTCATTGATTGTAACAAATGTACCACTCTGCTGGGGGAACGTTGATAGTAAGGGAGTGCGTATGTGTGTGTATAGGGGAGGAGGGAATATATGGGAAATCTCTGTATTCTCTGCTCAATTTTACTGTGAACCTAAAGCTGTTCTGGAAAATAGTCTATTTAATAAAAAAATATATATTTAAAAATATAATTATTATTCTCATACACATTCTTTGTCCTGTTTTCTCATTTCTTTTTCTAGCAATCCTACTAGTCAGGTATCGAACTTCTTAGCTTAACCTTCTAATTTTATTTCCTTTTCTTTCCATTTCCCATTTTTTTGTCTTTTTGTTTCACGCTCTGGGAAGTAGCTCATTACATTCCAAACTTCTATTGATTTGTTTCCTGTAGTATTGTAAAATTTTCATAATAAATAAAAAACATCTCTGAGTTTTTTTTCCCTCACTCCCTGTGTCCCCTTACACAGATTCTGTTTTTCATTTCGTGGTTGCAGTATCTTTTCTTATGTATATATGTTGATGTTTATCATGGTTTTATTTTTATGTTTCATCCTTTTTCCTGAAATATCTGGGATTCTGTTAAGTTCTAGTTTTTAATGTCTATTTCTTTTTTACATTTCAAGCTTTCCTTCTATGTCTGGAGTTTTTGTCTCTCCATGTATAGTTAAGAGTGAGGCACCATAAAGCTGGCTGGGAACTAAGTTCAGAGTATTATTGTAGATGATAGTGATGGCAGCTGCAGGCTGCCTGGAGAGGCCACTGCTATCACACCAGTGGCTGCAGGGAGGGCACGGGGAGGTGGTGGACAGCCGTCCTGCAGCCCACAGCACTGGAGGCTACTGCTATGGGGCTCAGCTGGGTTGCCTGCTTGTGGGGGAGCAGCGTGGCAGGGGAGAAGTGTGGTTGGGCAGACGGGGGCCCTGAGGTGGAGGTGGGCCCGGGGCGGTGCCATACTTGCACATGGAGTGTGAGAGTCGGCCCTCGTGTGTGGAACTGGGGTCATGCTTTGGAGGCCCAGGGTGGGAAGTGGGAGTGGTACCTGCTTTGGGGACCTGGCCAATGGTGCAGCCACTGTGCCCACCCCGTGGAGGGCGCCGGGTTCCTGTATCTCGGGAGGAGGCTCTGTTCAAGGCCACCCAGGTCTGTATCCCCAGGGTCCACCCCCCACTGGGTGACTGCCGAGCCTGACACTCCCAATGGCTGGGCCAGGGCTGCAATCCGCTAAGCCCTGGGCCACCCCTGAATGCTGCGGGAATCAGGGAGCTCATGGCAATGTGGCCCCTGCCCCCAATGCTGGCCAGGGCACAGTGAGCACCTGGAGTGCCCACCCCAGGCTGTTAGGGGCTGTGGCTGTGGCTGCATGCCCACTGAGCTGGAGGGGGCTGGGATCAGGCAGGAGCCTTCCCCCCATCCCCTGCAGCCCCCCACCTCTGGGTTGTTGCAGCCTCCCAAGTCCTGGCTGTGGACTGGGCCTTTTTGCACTGTTGGGGGCCCAGGAAGGCCCCCACCTTGCCCTTGCAGGCCCTGAGGTGCCTGCTCCCACTGCCTGGCCTCTCCCCACTCCCAGCGCCCTCTCAGATCTTGGAGAGTGGTTGGGGCTGAGCCTGGGCACTGTAACAGTCTAGCTAGGTGGGCGTGTGCTCAGGGAAGTGCTGACACAACAGCCCCCTGCTGTCTTGGCCCCCTCTGGACTTTGACCGCTGACAAGCCTGAGGGCAGGGAAATCGAGGGGGTCACTGAAGGTGGCTGGGAGCTGGCTTGCAGGTGCCCATTGGTGTGAGCAGCCTGGGTGCCATGGACAGTGGCAGGAAGCAGACAGCCTCCTGGATGGAACAGGGCAGGTCCCCAGTGAGGCCCCACCTTCAGGCCTGGGAGGGCCTGAAGGCTGGGGACTGGGCTGCCAGTCCCACAGACTGGAGTGGGGACTTGTGGTGCCTTTTCTGGGACCTCCCATGGCCACCCATGGACTAATTGGCAGGCACTCCTCTGAGGCCCATAAAAGCCCTGGGCTCAGCCAGAGTAGAGCAGAGCAGATGACAGAGAGACGACAGGATGACCATCTGCAGAGAGGAGCTACCCTCTCTTCTAGGAGATGAACACTCGTTGGGAGACCCTGGCTGTGGAAAGGAGCTACCCACTGTGGTTCCCCTCTGAGCTGTTCTGTTGCTCAATAAAGCTCCTCTTTCTCTTGCTCACCTTCTACTTCTCTGTGTAACTCATTCTTCCTGGTTGCAGGACAAGAACTCAGGAGTGGTGAGGTTAAAAGAGCTATAACACAAACAGGGCTGAGACATGCCCCTTGCTTGGCATGTTGCAGGTGAAGAGAAGGAGAGAAGAGCTGTGGCCCTTTGGGGTGCCCAGTCCTGGGGGCTCCCGAGCCAGTGCTGTGACCCCTTCCTTGGGACCCTGGTGTCTCCAAGCTTCCAGGTGCCACCATGTTCCCTGGTGCCAGCCGTGGAAGCTGCTTGTGGTTTGTCTGGTCCAGCTGTAGCCTGACAGAGAGCCGGTGCCCATGCTGGTACTTGGAGCTGCCCACTCTGCTGTAGCAGCTGCACAGAGGTTTCCAGCCAGAAAAGTGCTGCCCCAAAGATCCCATAACAATAGGACAGAGAGTTAGCTTTTCTGTTAGTTGGGCCACAAATATTAGTAAAAATGGCTTTTTAAGTATGTGGGTTTATTTAGTTTTGTTTATTCATAGAAGGATTCTCCAATTTGTTACCTTGCAGGTATCAGCTTAGTTGCCAGTGTTCTGATGGGGGCGGGGTGTGTGTGGTGGGGTCTCATCTTTTTATTTACAGACTTTCACTCAACCTCCCAGTTTTAGTCTCATGGGTCATCGTTAGCCTCTCTCTTGACCTTTGCTGGGCTGGGCAATTCCATGGCTAGGAGGTTCTCTGGTTTATTTTATCCAAAGAATGAACAATCTATGTTTTAGGGGGTGAGAAGGAATAGTCAGTGGGGCTTGGGCATCTAATCCTATGCAGATTTGAAGCCAGTCCTTTTCTGCTCCATATCTCATCTCCACTTTCTGTGGAACTCTTTGGAGAAGATTCTGGAGTGAATTTTTTGTATCTAGATAAAATCCCCAGCTGTAGAGACTGAGTTTCAGCTTTTTCTGTTCTACTAAGGCAATCACCATGCTTTCATCTACTTTTCATCTTGAAAAAAAAAAATGACATTGCCTACTCTTAAATTCTCTTTGTAACTTTTCGCTTTTTAATAGGAGACAAAGAAGATGAACACATGATTTCATCCACCATGTTTAGCCATGGATAATATGCTTTCAAATCTATATAGTTTTTAATGTCAAGGGAAAATGCTCAGTTTGTGAAAAAGTTAAAAGAAAAAACTGTGAAAGGAAGCATACCAAGGTTTATTTCTGGGCTGTGAAATTATTAGTGATCAGTTACTATTTTGTTTAAAAAATCTTTTCTGCATTTGCTAAATTTTCTATAATAAGTAGATAGGCACTTTCATGAGAAAATAACTTAAAAATACATTTACAAATCTATACTGATGCTTACATTAGCTCAGCAAGGTCAACTTTAATTGCAGTGACCTGAAGAAGGAAAAAATGTTTATTTTCTTCATGCCAAATATTGAAAACCTTTAATAATAATTAAATGTATGTGGTAAACAAGCTATAATCTTTCAGATAAGAAATGGTGAATTTTCTTTTCACTATTAATGTGAATTCAATTTCTATAGACAATGGTTAGCAATATATATTTTAAGATTATATAACTGGTAGATATTAAAGATCTAATGTAAGAATGTACTCCATACGTATGGTTACTTTGATATTAGAAGGTGCTTTACAATACCTGACTATAATCTAAGAGTATTCCAAAATGGGCTATAGGAAATATCAGCTCCATCTGATTCTCTGCAAAGAAATGTTTGCAAATTGTTACGTAGTATTTTATTTTCCTGGAGCAATAATTCACATTAGGGAACTGAAGCCTTGGAGTATACTGTGGTAAAGAAACGTGGCCAATTTTATCGATTTAACTGTTTGAATAAGAGTTTTTGAAACTTATTTTGACTGTGAAACCCTTTCTCCCCCAACAAAATCCCTCCCTGTAATCCTGGCCATTATCATTATTATTGTTATTATTATTGCCACTTAAATTTAAATGTCAGTGTTTTATTCATTTCAGGCAATAATGATGTCCTTTAGGCAGAGAGATTATGAAGCCACACTTGACTTTTCTGGTTTGGTAGACTCGAACCATTCAATTTATTTAGTGACTGAGTAAAGTAAAAGTAACTATGTTGGATAGGTCCTCCATTGCTTTAGGCAGGAAGCAGGAAAATATTTTACTGCTCTTGTGTTGTGGGTTGGAGTAATTTCCTCATTTTGTTTTCCCTTGTTCTTGGATAAGGCTTAGAAGGTCAATGGTTCCAAGTTGTTTCCCAGCAGCCATGGCATTTTGTAAAGCCTGAAGCATCTTGTGGGAGTGTATTTGCTGAAATATATCTGTAGGTGCTGGTTATTGTCAAATTGTACGTCTGGAGCCCTGAGATATGAAGGTTTATTGTCTAATTTTCAAGTAAACACAATTTTAATGAAAGTAATCATTTAGGGATTTTCTTTAGCACATTTGCTTTGTATGTCTGGACTCCTTTTATTAAAGGAAATGGGAAAATAATTTGGGAATCTAAAATAAATCAGACTTTATCTGTTGATACTGTTAAACTGGACTATCTGAGCATAAAAATGGTGGGATTTACAATAAAATAAATTGCTTGGAAATAATTGGCTCTTCTAAAGCAGTTTTTCAAAGCCTCACCCTCTAGGTAGTCCTTTCATAGTGGGAGGCCACTGGGTTTATTACAAAGTTTGAGCGTCTAGACAGACAGGTTGCAGTTCCACTACACAGCTCTGAGATATTACTATTGGTACTATTAATAGCAACTTTTATTGAGGGCTTAGTGTATGCTAGTTATTGTGCTACAGGCAATACATGCATGAGCTCTTTTAATTTTTACTACACTGCATCAGAGAATTGGACTAGAAGGCTCCCTATCTTTCTTCCAGCACTAAATATCTCAGGAAATATGTCTCAGCTGCCAGACCTTTGTTCCACTCTGGGGAGATGGGGAAGTCAGGAAGCAAAGGAATCTTATCCTCACTCAAAGGGGTGTGTAGACAAACTCAAGAGGCTGAGTTGGAACTCAGAACCATTTTCCATTCCAAACCAATACATAATCTAGTATAACATATATTATAATCAGATGGCTTAAGTGGGCTTTTCTGGTGGCCCAAATGTCTGATAGCTATTAAAATTTATATAGCATTGTTTTCTTGAATCATACTCTGTTTCAATTGGGTAGGGGAAGAGGTGGCTTGTATTGGGATTCACGGGGCCATTCTGTCATGAGGGTAGCTGGGCAGACAGAATTCTGTTTATATGTTTTAAACACAAGTTATTTCATCCTACACGTAAGAAAATTGGGCAGTGTGTGTCACTCCCAAGTGGGTCACTCCTTCTTCTGATGTGTAGGCACGATAGAACTCACCATCTATCCTTTATCTTCCTAAAAAGGTCTCTTACAAAACACTCAGAGGGAGCTTGCAGAATTCGTAGGAAACTGAGCTGAATATTTATTGAACTCTGTTACTTTTCTGATATCATCTTTTTTTTACTGTCACCGTTTGACTGGTTATCTTCTGAAAGACTACTGGAAAGAATTCTTTGCTCAGTTCCTATTAGGGTTTTAATGATTTCTTTCTTACCCCATTAGGAAATATTAACAACTGCATGTTAAATAGTTAACCAAATAAGAAAGATAAAATCAATCAGTGTTTAAATTACATCTGCTGAGTTTAAATCATTTAGTAGGTAAAGGCTTCCTTATCTTTCAAATGTGAAGCCTTATTAGAAAACCAGATATATTTTTTTCAAGCAGCTTCAATACTTTGGCAGTTCTTGGAGATTGGCTGGACCGTTCAGTTTGAAGCAGACGGATTTACTAGGGCCCCAGATCATACAGCCAAGGGTTTATAGAGATTCTGGCACTTCTAACAATCATGAAAAGGCAGCCCTACACAAAATGCCAAAGTGTGAGCAGAGGGACTGTGACAGGGCCTCTTACAAGGCTAAAGAAATCCGACAATCAGAGATCTATTATTTTGGCTTATGATTTTGTCACCTAGTAAATTGTAAAAACCCTGTGTGAGAGTCAGCCTTGTGAGTTTATCAAAAACTTTCCTGGGAGCAGCATTTCATGTTGATGATTAGGACAAAACTGGACAGCTAGGGCTGGAGACAGGGAATTGACAGTGGTCGGCACATTGGTGGGAGGAGGGAGGGAAGGCTGAGAAAAGGCAGCTGATGATGAGCGGAAGGCTACAGACAAATTTTACCTATTTCATTCATTTCTTTATTCGACAAATATTTATTGAGAATCTACTGTGTGTGAAGCACTTTGTTAAGGGCCAGGGAAGAAATAATTGGGCTTCTGGAAGTTCTGACTGTGGGAGAGAGGCAGCCCTGTCAACAGGTACTAACGGCAGTATGTAAGAAGTGTCACAGTTGGAGCAGGCAGCGAGAAGGGGAGGATCCCAGAGGAGAATGTGTGTGTAGCAGGGTCACAGGGAGCCATCTCGAGATGGTGATGTCTGAATTTTTTTCTTAAAACATAAATAGAAATGTTTACCCAGATGAGAAGCCACTGTAGGCTGAGAGACAGCCTGGGCAAAGGGCACTGACTGAGAGGTAGCCCGGTTGTATTAGTCTGTTCTCACAATGCTATAAAGAAATACCTGAGACTGGGTAATTTATAAAGAAAAGAGGTTTAATTGGCTTATGATTCTGCAGGCTGTACAGGAAGCAAGGCAGCATCTGCTCAGCTTCTGAGGAGGTGTTGAGAAACTTACAATCATAGCAGAAGGCAAAGGGGAAGTGAGGCGTCTTACATGGCAGGAGCAGGACCATGAGCATGGAGGGGGTGCTACATGCTTTTAAACAACCAGATCTCACTGGAACTCCCTATTGTGATGACAGCACCAAGGGGGGATGGTGTTAAACCATGAGAAACCGCCCCCGTGATCCAATCACCTCCCACTAGGCCCCACCTCCAACACTGGGGATTACAATTGAACATGAGATTTGAGTGGAGACACAGAGCCAAACCATATCCCTGAGCAAAGGTTGCGGGCGTAACAAAGAGTTTGCATGGGGGTTGAGGCTGAAACTCAGGCCGAAACACTGTGGAAGACCCTCTTCTTTAGGGATTTAGGACTTGATTCTGTAAGCAATAGGGAGGTTCTAACCAAGGAAGGGGCCTGACCACATTTGTATTATTGAGAGATGGCCTTGGTCACCGTGAAATCTATGGATTGGTGGGAGGGAGTGCATAGAGAGTGATCACAGGGGCAATGGTGCACAGTTTTGACCATCTCGTGTCTCTGGCATGTCCTAGTGCTTGAGAGTACCCTACAAAGAGGACTGTGTAGAAGCTGTGTCTCTATAGCTTGCAAGAACCTCAAGCAGATATTTTCTTGTGTCTGCATTTCAGATGTTTGTTTTTTAAACTATAACTCAAAGCCAGGAAGACCTATTAGCATCAGGGAATGCAATGATCTAAGTCTTGGATAATTTAGATAGGATTATGCATAAGTGCTATTATTTGTATATTCCTATTGAACATTTTCAGGATATTATTAACTCATTTGAACAGCCCATCAACACAAGAACTAAGAATAAGGTAAAATTTTGTTAAACTCCAGTCAAAAGTAATTGCTATCCTATTACTGAATCATAATGTTGGTATTTTTAAAGGTCGCTTTCAAAGGCACCAAATGATAGGCTTTAACTTTACTAAAACCTTGGTCTCAATATGAAGCCTGTGTTTTAGATGCAGTTTCACAAAATGGTTTTATGTTCGAACCCAAAAGACACACTGATCTAAGGCCCCCATTGTTTTCAGAAGGAAGAAAAATCCTGCTGAATCCAGGAGCTCTTGCTGTCCCTTTTGCCCTCACATGAAACGTCTTTGTGGCTCAGACTCAATGAGCTATGGACCTGTGGACCCTGGTGGCAGTCACACAGTGTCAAGGGTAAGAGGCAGTAATGTTTCAGAGAGAACAACCTTGCAAAAATGAAGACAGAAAGGCAAGCCAGATCTTCTTGCTTTGATTGTGAGATAAAGTTCCAACAGGTGCTGGGACTTAGGTCAAAATTATTAATAGAATGGAAACTCTAATGAGAATAGCAGAGTGATGCTGGGAACTAAGACATGGCTAGCGAGGTCTATGCAATCTCAGATGGCATGTTTTTCACGAGGTCTTTCCTGATTCTCCAGCTGTGATTTTCTTTCTTTCTTCATTTATATTTCACTTCAGGCAGCAATTTTCTCTGCTTTGAATAATATTTGATTTATAGCCCTCAATATGTTATAGGTCTAGAAGTTAAGAACTTCCAGAACATGACTTTTTATCATCTGAGTGCAGGACTGTGCCACCATGCAGTGGACTCAGCAAGGAAAGACTAAATCTAGTGACTGACTACTCCATTACATCTACCCATGTATTTACTTATCCCCTCTCTTGTGCCAGATGGGGTTTATGTTGGAGTTACATGATAAGCCCCTGGAGGATGGGGCAGTGTGTTGTTTACATTGGTTTCTTATAGTCCAGGGCCTTCTATATAGTAGCTGCTCAGTACAGGATGGCTGATGAGGAGTTGGCTTCTAACAGGTTTGATTCCTGCTTCTGTGCTCACAGCATGTGACCTGAGGCAAGGAGTTTAAGCCCCTTTAAATCTCAGATTTCTTACTGGGTTTCTTCCATTAAATAAATTAATGTATTTTTTAAACCCCAGTACCTAGCACCTAGTATGATTGCTACTGTCTACTATTTAATAATTGCCCACTATTATTATAATTGTCCTTAGCCTCAAGATTACAATACACTGTGAAAATTTTATTCCATTTTATCACATCTATATTGGATTACCTTATTTTTACAAAACGGGAACAAAGTACTCTAAAGAATTAACAACATACTAGATATAGCATGCATTCAAGAGAATACAAAATCATGATTATACTAGCCACAGAAATGTTGAAAGAAGGAAATGATTTTTTAGACAAGCTGACAAGTTCACTGGAGTCATACAGAGTCCCATCTTAGACTGTTAGCAATAAAAAAAATACTGCCTATTTGTATTTTTCAAAGCACTTTCACATTTCTCAAAGTCTCATTATTTGATGGCTGGCAAGATCTGAATTCTCTAGGGAATATCTACAATGTAGTTGACACACAGGCAATTTTCTTGGTGTCCTTGACTGCTAGAAACAAGGGCATTCTCAGTCTGAGCCTTAGGCTCCCTGTGCAATTTCAGAGAGAATCTACTTTTCTTCAGTCGATCCCAATGCTTCCTCAGAATATAAGGACCACAGAGTGATTAAGAATGTGGGCTCTGAGATGACCTACTCCCTGCCCCGGGACCTTACCAGTCCCTGGACTAAAAGCTTGTATTCATTTTTAAATTTGGATTTCAAACCAGCTATCAAGATGGTAGGTATTATATTCCTCCTCTTTCTAAGAAGGGAAACTGAGCTCAAAGATGTGAAGTAATTTTGGTAACATGACATGGGTCATATGTGGAAAGGCTGGGATTTGAACCCAAGTTGGTCTTACTCCAAAAGCTAGCTCTTAACCAACATGCAATGCTGCCTCCTCTAATACCAATCACCAGCTGGATGATATGGGCAAGCCATTAAATCTCCCTGAGCTTTGCGTTTCTCATGGGCAAAACTGAGATAATATCTATGTTACAGGATAGTTGTGAGAATAAATTTAGATGACATTTATACACAAGTATTTCTATCTAAAGTAGTCAGACTCTGCTCCCACTTTCCCATGATACCAATATCACAAAACAGCAGGGGACCGTGCATTGATAGCCCATGTGCATCTAACTCCCAGCTCAGTGCACTGCACAGAATCAGTGCTCAGTAAATGTTTGTTGAACAAATTGAATCAACATTTATATTAACCACTTGCAATGCAGCAAGGTACAGTTTCTCACTTCAAGAAACTCAGTTCTAAACAGAAGGAGAAGGACAAGTATGTAAAAAATGAAACAATGTAGAACATGAATGAGGAGTAAAGAAGATTCCTTGGAAAAGAACTCTGGGAGCCAAGTCTTAAAGAATGAGTGAGAGTAAGTAATGTAAAGAAAGGAAGGAAATTTGCATGTTCAAAGGCATGTGGACATGAGGGCTCTTTTAAGAAGCTCAGATGGCATTGGGAGAAAAAAGTGCATAGTGAATGGAAATGGTGTGCAGGACCTTGAAAGCTGTGCTGAGGAATTGGGATTGCAGAAATAAGGTGTGGAATCGCTGAGGGATCATTTTTTTTAAAAATTATACTCTAAGTTCTAGTGTACATGTGCACAACGTGCAGGTTTGTTACATATGTATACATGTGCCATGTTGGTGTGCTGCACCCATTAACTCGTCCTTTAAATTAGGTATATCTCCTAATGCTATCCCTCCTGCCTCCCCTGACCCCACGACAGGCCCTGGCGTGTGATGTTCCCCGTCCTGTGTCCAGGTGTTCGCATTGTTCAATTCCCACCTATCAGTGAGAACATGCGGTGTTTGGTTTTTTGTCCTTGTGATAGTTTGCTGAGAATGATGGTTTCCAGCTTCATCCATGTCCCTACAAAGGACATGAACTCATCCTTTTTTATGGCTGCATAGTATTCCATGGTGTATATGTGCCACATTTTCTTAATCCAGTCTATCATTGTTGGACATTTGGGTTGGTTCCAAGTCTTTGCTATTGTGAATAGTGCCACAGTAAACATACGTGTGCATGTGCCTT
Source organism: Homo sapiens (assembly GCF_000001405.40). Lineage (NCBI taxonomy): Eukaryota > Metazoa > Chordata > Mammalia > Primates > Hominidae > Homo > Homo sapiens. The sequence goes on from NC_000012.12 coordinate 46,540,407, forward strand.
TATAGCAGCATGCTTTATAATCCTTTGGTTATATACCCAGTAATGGGATGGCTGGGTCAAATGGTATTTCTAGTTCTAGATCCTTGAGGAATCGCCACACTGTCTTCCACAATGGTTGAACTAGTTTACAGTCCCACCAACAGTGTAAAAGTGTAAAAGTGTTCCTATTTCTCCACATCCTCTCCAGCATCTGCTGTTTCCTGACTTTTTAATGGTCACCATTCTAACTGGTGTGAGATGGTATCTCATTGTGGTTTTGATTTGCATTTCTCTGATGGCCAGTGATGATGAGCATTTTTTCATGTGTCTGTTGGCTGCATAAATGTCTTCTTTTGAGAAGTGTCTGTTCATATCCTTCACTCACTTTTTGATGGGGTTGTTTTTTTCTTTCTTGTAAATTTGTTTGAGTTCTTTGTAGATTCTGGATATGAGCCCTTTGTCAGATGAGTAGATTGCAAAAATTTTCTCCCATTCTGTAGGTTGTCTGCTCACTCTGATGGTAGTTTCTTTTGCTGTGCAGAAGCTCTTTAGTTGAATTAGATCCCATTTGTCAATTTTGGCTTTTGTTGCCATTGCTTTTGTTGTTTTAGACATGAAGTCCTTGCCCGTGCCTATGTCCTGAATGGTATTGCCTAGGTTTTCTTCTAGGGTTTTTATGGTTTTAGGTCTAACATTTAAGTCTTTAATCCATCTTGAATTAATTTTTGTATAAGATGTAAGGAAGGGATCCAGTTTCAGCTTTCTACATATGGCTAGCCAGTTTTCCCAGCACCATTTATTAAATAGGGAATCCTTTCCACATTTCTTGTTTTTATCAGGTTTGTCAAAGATCAGATGGTTGTAGATGTGTGGTATTATTTCTGAGGGCTCTATTCTGTTCCATTGGTCTATATCTCTGTTTTGATACCAGTACCATGCTGTTTTGGTTACTGTAGCCTTGTAGTATAGTTTGAAGTCAGGTAGCATGACGCCTCCAGCTTTGTTCTTTTGGCTTAGGATTGTCTTGGCAGTGTGGGCTCTTTTTTGATTCCGTATGAACTTTAAAGTAGTTTTTTCCAATTCTGTGAAGAAAGTCATTGGTAGCTTGATGGAGATGGCGTTGAATCTATAAATTACGTTGGGCAGTATGGCCATTTTCATGATATTGATTCTTCCTATCCATGAACATGGAATCTTCTTCCATTTGTTTGTGTCCTCTTTGATTTTGTTGAGCAGTGGTTTGTAGTTGTCCTTGAAGAGGTCCTTCACATCCGTTGTAAGTTGGATTCCTAGGTATTTTATTCTCTTTGAAGCAATTGTGAATGGGAATTCACTCATGATTTGGCTCTCTGTTTGTCTGTTATTGGTGTATAAGAATGCTTGTGATTTTTGCACATTGATTTTGTATCCTGAGACTTTGCTGAAGTTGCTTATCAGCTTAAGGAGATTTTGGGCTGAGACAATGGGGTTTTCTAAATATACAATCATGTCATCTGCAAACAGGGACAAGTTGACTTCCTCATTTCCTAACTGAATACCCTTTATTTCTTTCTGCTCTCTGATTGCCCTGGCCAGAACATCCAACACTATGTTGAATAGGAGTGGTGAGAGAGGGCATCCCTGTCTTGTGCCAGTTTTCAAAGGGAATGCTTCCAGTTTTTGCCCATTCAGTATGATATTGGCTGTAGGTTTGCCATAAATAGCTCTTATTATTTTGAGATACATCTCATCAATACCTCATTTATTGAGAGTTTTTAGCATGAAGGGCTGTCGAATTTTGTCAAAGGCCTTTTCTGCATCTATTGAGATAATCATGTGGTTTTTGTTTTTGGTTCTGTTTATATGCTGGATTATGTTTATTGATTTGTGTATGTTGAACCAGGCTTGCATCCCGGGCATGAAGCCCACTTGATCATGGTGGATACGCTTTTCGAAGTGCTGCTGGATTCTGTTTGCCAGTATTTTATTGAGGATTTTTGCATTGATGTTCATCAGGAATATTGGTCTAAAATTCTCCTTTTTTTGTTGTGCCTCTGCCAGGCTTTCGTATCAGGATGATGCTGGCCTCATAAAATGAGTTAGGGAGGATTCTCTGTTTTTCTGTTGATTGGAATAGTTTCAGAAGGAATGGTACCAGCTCCTCCTTGTATCTCTGGTAGAAGTCCGCTGTGAATCCATCTGGTCCTGGACTTTGTTTGGTTGTTAGGATATTAATTATTGCCTCAATTTCAGAGCCTGTTATTGGTCTATTCAGGGATTCAACTTCTTCCTGGTTTAGTGTTGGGAGGGTGTATGTGTCCAGGAATTCATCCATTTCTTCTAGATTTTCTAGTTTATTTGCGTAGAGGTGTTTATAGTATTCCCTGATGGTAGTTTGTATTTCTGTGGGATTGGTGGTGATATCCCCTTTATCATTTTTTATTGCATCTATTTGATGCTTCTCTCTTTTCTTCTTTATTATTCTTGCTAGCGGTCTATCAATTTTGTTGATCTTTTAAAAAAAACCAGCTCCTGAATTCATTGATTTTTGAAGGGTATTTTGTGTCTCTATCTCCTTTTGTTGTGCTCTGATCTTAGTTATTTCTTGCCTTCTGCTAGCTTTTGAATATGTTTGCTCTTGCTTCTCTAGTTCTTTTAATTGTGATGCTAGGGTGTCAATTGTAGCTGTTTCCTGCTTTCTCTTGTGGGCATTTGGTGCTATAAATTTCCCTCTACACACTACTTTAAATGTGTCCCAGAGATTCTGGTATGTTGTGTTTTTGTCATCATTGGTTTCCAAGAACATCTTTATTTCTGCCTTCATTTCATTATGTACCCAGTAGTCATTCAGGAGCAGGTCGTTCAGTTTCCATGTATTTGAGCAGTTTTGAGTGAGTTTCTTAATCCTGAGTTCTAGTTTGATTGCCCTGTGGTCTGAGAGACAGTTTGTTATAATTTCTGATCTTTTACATTTGCTGAGGAGTGCTTTACTTCCAACTATGTGGTCAGTTTTGGAATAAGTGCGATGTGGTGCTGAGAAAAATCAATAGATTCTGTTGATTTGGGGTGGAGAGTTCTGTAGATGTCTATTAGGTCCACTTGGTGCAGAGCTGAGTTCCCTGTATATCCTTTTTAACTTTGTCTCGTTGATCTGTCTAATGTTGACAGTAGGGTGTTAAAGTCTCCCATTATTATTGTTTGGGAGTCTAAGTCTCTTTGTAGGTCTCTAAGGACTTGCTTTATGAATCCGGATGCTCCTGTATTGAGTGCATATATATTTAGGATAGTTAGCTTTTCTTGTTGAATTGATCCCTTTACCATTATGTAAAGGCCTTCTTTGTCTCTTTTGATCTTTGTTGGTTTAAAGTTTGTTTTATCAGAGACTAGGATTGCAACCCTTGCTTTTTTTTTGTTTTCCATTTACTTGGTGGATCTTTCTCCATCTCTTTATTTTGAGCCTATGTGTGTCTCTGCACATGAGATGAGTCTCCTGAATAAAGCACACTGATGGGTCTTGACTCTTTATCCAATTTGCCAGTCTGTGTCTTTTAATAGGAGCATTTAGCCCATTTACATTTAAGGTTAGTATTGTCATGTGTGAATTTGATCCTGTCATTATGATGTTAGCTGGTTATTTTCCTCGTTAATTGATGCTGTTTCTTCCTAGCATCGATGGTCTTTACAATTTGGCATGTTTTTGCAGTGGCTGGTACCGGTTGTTCCTTTCCATGTTTAGTGCTTCCTTCAGGAGCTCTTCTAGGGTAGGCCTGGTGGTGACAAAAATCTCTCAGCATTTGCTTGTCTGTAAAGGATTTTATTTCCCCTTCACTTATGAAGCTTAGTTTGGCTGGATATGAAATTCTGGGTTGAAAATTCTTTTCTTTAAGCATGTTGATTATTGGCCCCCACTCTCTTCTGGCCTGTAGAGTTTCTGCCGAGAGATCAGCTGTTAGTCTGATGGGCTTCCCTTTGAGGGTAACCCGACCTTTCTCTCTGGCTTCCCTTAACATTTTTTCCTTCATTTCAACTTTGGTGAATCTGACAATTATGTGTCTTGGAGTTGCTCTTCTCGAGGAGTATCTCTGTGGCATTCTCTGTATTTCCTGAATTTGAATGTTGGCCTGCCTTGTGAGGTTGGGGAAGTTTTCCTGGATAACATCCTGCAGAGTGTTTTCCAACTTGGTTCCATTCTCCCTGTCACTTTCAGGTACACCAGTCAGATGTAGATTTGGTCTTTTCACGTAGTGTCATATTTCTTGGAGGCTTTGTTCATTTCTTTTGATTCTTTTTCCTCTAAACTTCTCTTCTCACTTCATTTCATTCATTTGATCTTCAGTCACTGATATCCTTTCTTCCACTTGATCAAATCGGCTACTGAAGCTCGTGCATTCATCATGTGGTTTTCGTGCCATGGTTTTCAGCTCCATCAGGTAATTTAAGGAGTTCTTTACACTGGTTTTTCTAGTTAGCCATTCGTCTAATCTTTTTTAAAGGTTTTTAGCTTCTTTGTGTTGGGTTCGAACTTCCTCTTTTAGCTCGGAGAAGTTTGATCGTCTGAAGCCTTCTCTCAACTCGTCATTCTCCATCCAGCTTTGTTCCACTGCTGGCGTAGAGCTGCGTTCCTTTGGAGGGGGAGAGGTGCTCTGATTTTTAGAATTTTCAGCTTTTCTGCTGTTTTTTCCCCATCTTTGTGGTTTTATCTACCTTTGGTCTTTGATGATGGTGATGTACAGATGGGGTTTTGGTGTGAATGTCCTTTCTGTTTGTTAGTTTTCCTTCTAACATTCAGGACCCTCAGCTGCAGGTCTGTTGGAGTTTGCTGGAGGTCCTTTCCAGACCCTGTTTGCCTGGGTATCAGCAGCGGAGCCTGCAGAACAGTGAATATTGCTGAACAGCAAATGTTGCTGCATGATAGTTCCTTTGGAAACTTTGTCTCAGAGGGGTACCTGGCCGTATGAGGTGTCAGTCTGCCCCTACTTGGGAGTGCCTCCAAGTTAGGTTACTCAGGGTTCAGGGACCCAGTTGAGGAGGCAGTCTGTCGGTTCTCAGATCTCAAACTCCATGCTGGGAGCAACACTACTCTCCTCAAAGCTGATAGACAGGATTATTTCAGTTTGCAGAGGTTTCTGCTGCCTTTTGTTTGGCTATGCCCTGTCCCCAGAGGTGGAGTCTACAGAGTCAGGCAGGCCTCCTTGAGCTGTGGTGGGCTCCACCCAGTTTGAGCTTCCCGGCTGCTTTGTTTACCTACTCAAGCCTCAGCAATGGTGGGCGCTCCTCCCCCAGCCTCACTGCTGCTTTGCAGTTTGATCTCAGACTGCTGTCCTAGCAATGAGCAAGGCTCTGTGGGCATGGGACCCTCCAAGCCATGCGCGGGATATAATCTCCTGGTGTGTCATTTGCTAAGACCATTGGAAAAGCGCAGTACTAGGGTGGGAGTGACCCAATTTTCCAGGTGCCGTCTGTCACAGCTTCCTTTGGCTGGGACAGGGAAGTCCCTGACCCCTTGCGCTTCCCAGGTGAGGTGATGCCTTGCTGTGCTTCGGCTCACACTCGGTGGGCTGCACCCACTGTCTGACAAGGCCCAGTGAGATGAACCTGGTACTTCAGTTGGAAATGCAGAAATCACCCGTCTTCTGCGTCGCTCATGCTGGGAGCTGTAGACTGGAGCTGTTCCTATTCAGCCATCTTGGAACCACATCGAGAGATCTTAACTGAGTGTCAGGAGCACATTTCTATTTTTGAAAATTCACATTTGGGAAATGTGCAGAATAGTGGAATAGGAAGAGGTTGGATATACCAGTAGAGTTTAAAGGTTATAATGGTAGTTCAGGGAGGGAAATATATGGGCCTGAGCTATTAAGGCAGTGAGAGAGAGGAGGAAATGAGTTCAGCTGTGTTTAGGTGGTAGAATTCACTGGACTTAAGATCAGATTGACTATGGGGAAAAAAAGGAGGAATGATGTCTAAGGTAGGTGACAATTTTGAGTAACTAGATATATGGTGGCTCCATTAATAATAGGTACCATTTATTGAGTGCTCATTATGTACCTGGCGTACTGCTAAGTGCTTTGCATGCATTATTTTATTTCATCCTCATATCAATCTGCAAAATAGTTATTTTCTCCATTTTATAGATGAAGAAGGTGAAGCTCAGAGCAATTAGGAAGTCTGCCTAGTGTCTCAGATGGAGTAAGTGGTGGTGTTGAGATTTGTACCCAGGTAGGCTCCCAAGCCCATGTCAACAATTACTGTGACACACACAGGCTCTTCCTGTGTTGAGCACCACAGGAAGAGAAGGTTTGGAGAGGGAAAGGAGGAGATGGTGATCACATAGTATTATGTGTTCTACTATCCAACTATTTTGGGTTTTGCTTGCATGAAAATGCATGGGAGCAGCAGTGCTTCCTTCTTATCTGGAGGAATTGGCAGGGTGGGAGGTGGAAGAGGGAGCCTAGAAGGTACCCTTTACAAGCATCCTGTTGACCTCATGGTGTTTCTCTCCTGCCCCCTCCAGAGTAGTTGCTGATAAAGGAGATATAAAGGAGCAGGGTTCTTCAGGTCAGAGTTTCTAGCTTTAGTGGGAATGCCAACAGAGAAAGGGACCCAGTGTCTGAAGCCACAGGCAAGGAAGCTCAGGGCTCCATAGAGGTGGACAGGCAGCTTACATCTCATCTCATGGCTAAGCACATTAACCACATAAGCTTCCTCTAACTGCTGAACTCACAGCAAATAAACACACGCCCACACAACCAGTAAGTAAGTATCAGTGGAGCAGATGCAAATGAAATACAAGTGATGAACTGCTGTCAGTTCTTGGGGTATTTGGCACCTGCGTCAACTCCAGAAGGAATGTGACCTCTTGGGTAAGGAGGGCATGATTTCAGAGGCACCAAGAGGACCTTTCCACCAAATTCAGCTTTTTAATTTTTTTTTTAAATCTGAAATTCTACAATTATAAATTCATTCCTCCCCTTTCAAAATGAAGCACTTTATACTAAAGAAGAACCCACTTAAAGCTTCATTAATTATTTCTTCCCTGAAGAAGAATCAGTCTTTTGGGTTCTATCTTGAGAACACATTTTGAGAGTAGGGCAGGGAAGGAATGAAATTTCTGTCAGCAGAGAGATGAAGAAGGCTGGCCTGAGAAGGCAGGAATATACAAACTAACTGATGAGGGTTAACCAGTATGCCATTTTTATGCAAGTCAGTACAGGTTTCTCAGTAAAGTACGGGCAAATAGAAATGTAATTTATGAATATTTCATCATTCTTTGTCATATAGGCCAGCCAGAAAGGGCAAAAAGAAAAAGATATTCAGAGATGTGACTTCTTGGTGTCCTTCTGCACTTGACAGAAGCTACCCCTTTGGGAAAAACTGGATAGTTTGTAGATCTGCCACAGAAAATTCAACATCTCTAAAGGCATACTAGTGCTAAATGGACATATTATTACTTTTGCTATCTCACCTATTGGCATGTGCTTGTGTGTGAGGAGGGATTATGGACAGGATGGGGAATAGGAGAGTGTCAAGAATGAATGGGCATTGCCCAAGAAGGTGAATCAGCTGACTGTTCAATCTACCTGGAAGTAAAAATAACTGGGGAGCAGAAAATCTTATGCATATTTTAATTACCTTGTCTAGAACATGAAATGACAAGAATGTGTACTATATTTATTGGGCTACTGAATTCTCTATTTCATGCCCCTAGGCACTCCCAGAAGTCTGATTCTATTTCCTTGAAAAAATACCAAGCATTTCTCCTTCAAGAATGATTGAGGGGTTGCCTTCTGTTGTTGCTTTACTAACCACCTCCCTCAACCAAACACCCACAGGCAAGTTGCCTCTCATTCTCCAATCTAGGCAAAGAGTGAATCTTTTGTTGTTATTTGCAGGAAATGGGACACAGGAAATGAGCCAATCAGAATCAGCATTAGGCCATTTTTTTTCCCTTGTCCCTCTTTCTCAATCTTTTTAATTGGGAAAAGTACTTGTTTTAAAATCTAGTAAATATGATACAAATTGAACATCCAACTATAAGAAGAATCATCAGAAAAAAAATCAGGATTTCTCTTCAAAGTTTACAGAGACTTAATATAACTCCTTTTCTTAATAGTTATTTTTCTTTGAATTAGGCAGTGGTAACTAAAGCTAAAACAACCACCACCACAGTGGTAATAAAGGCTAAACGACCTTCCACTGCCCTTGTTTATGCTTTTCTCATCAGTTGAGCTTTCCGTTTCTTCAAAGTCCCACAGAAATGGCTGGCAATTTTCAATCATCAAATCAAAGCCCTTTGTTGGAATTGTTTCTTTGGTGTAACGCAGGATATGCTGCCAGTAATTTGATCAGTTCAGTCATTTCCATAATTAGAACAAGAGCACGTCTTCCTAAAGTATGTGCTTATTCCATGGTCTGAAGTCACACAAAAGGGAATGTGCAAAGCCCTTATGTTGTGTGGTTCTAAAATAGCAGCTGTTTTTTATATATTTACCTCTTAACAATTTGCCCACCATCCTAGGTAGACAAACTTATAGCTCTGCTCTATCTGCTGATGACTGATGAAATGCAAGTCAGAGCATTTCACTTTAACTATATTGTTTGTCTGTTTAATAGGTGTGGCATGCATACCCACTCATATAAGACTCATTCAAAATCTTCCTGGGTTCCTCAAGAGCAGAGGGAAGGCAACACTTAAATACTTTGAGTATTCTCTCTTCATATTATTTGTGTACCTGTAGAGCTTTATGCCTATGACAACCTTGGTGTAATGTGGTAACAGTCTCATGGGATTACCAAGGTTGTAGGTTCCCTACCCTCACTTTAAAGAAGGGGAATTTTGGCCGGGTACGGTGGCTCACGCCTGTAATCCCAGCACTTAGGGAGCCCAAGCTGGGCAGATCACGAGGTCAGGAGTTCGAGACCAGTCTGGCCAACATAGTGAAAACCCATCTCTACTAAAAATACACAAAATTAGCCGGGTGTTGTGGTGTGTGCCTGTAATCCCAGTTACTTGGGAGGCTGAGGCAGGAGAATCGCTTGAACCCAGGAGGCAGAGGTTGCGGTGAGCCGAGATCGCACCATTGCACTCCAGCCCGGGTGACAGTGTGAGGCTCTATCTCGAAAAAAAAAAAAGAAGAAGAAAAAAAAAAGGAGGTGGGGGGTGGGAATTTTGAGCAGTGGGTGCATTTATCTGAGACTATTTGTGGGGTAGTTGAGATAGCTGTGCTCCAATGCTCAGCTCACACCACATCCAAATGTCTTTCTCATTGTCATTTCACTGTCTTCTTGTGGTCTCCCTGTTCTGTTCTCTCTTTCCTCTCAACCATCCTCCACACAGCAGTTAGAATAAACTTTCTCACATCCTTTCATCATGTTACTCCTCATTTTCTAACTTGTAAAATTCAGACATCTCAGCTTACCCTTCCTGACAACTATCTTTGTGTTATGGCAGACTTGTTTAACATGAATTTCTCTGGTACCATGAAGATATGTTCCAAGGCCCCCAGTGGATGCCCGAAACTGCAGTTAGTACCGAACCCTATATATGCTATGCTTTTTCCTGTACATACGTACCGTACAGCACCAGCGTACTGGACAAAGGGATGATTCATTTCCTGGGAGGGGTGGAATGGGATGACACAAGATTTCATCACACTACTCAGAATGGCGTGCAATTTAAAACTTATGAATTGTTTATACATTTTCCATTTACTATTTTCACACTGCAGTTGATCCTGGGTAACTGAAACTGAGAATAAGGAGGTGACTATTGTGCATACTTTGAAATGCTGAATTAACTGTCTTGTCACTGCTCTGATGACTTCTTTCTCCTCAAGGCCAGCATGAAACCCTCCTTCCTTCTGAAACGGTGATGAAAAGTGCCTTTATCCAGGAAGTCTTCCCTGATGGATTTCAACACCTTTCTATCTAATTTAAATACACTTTACCTAATTTTGCAACAAGATAAAAGAACTTTCTAAGTGTCCTCCATAATCCTACCACCCTAACACAACTTCTTGAACTTCTCTGTTTCCTTCCAAGTCTCTCCTACCTGCATATAAACTTTTCATGGTTGTGATGTATACAACTTGTATGATTTTTGTCATTTAACAATATTTTGTAACTTTCCACACCACTATACTACCTTCATTTTTAGTAATGATAGTACATTTTTTATGGGTAGTGAGTGATAGTAGAGAGAGGGAGAGAGTAGAATTTGTAGCCAGCATATGTGTAACCTTGGGCAAGGTACATAAGCCCCTTGGAGCATCAATTTGTTCACCCGTGAAACGGGGATGAAATGTATGTAAAGCACATCATACAGTACCTGACATTTGACAAATACTGGCTGTGATTCGTTACCAAGTTTAATTAAGCCATATGCACTTGTTTTTTATGGTTTACTGCTTTGAAAATTTTTGTGACGATTTCATGGGCAGTTCCCAGACAATTGATAAGCTCCTCTAAAGATGGGAACTTTTTTTAAATTTTGTATCACTTCCTAGGTCTTCTGTTAAAAGATGGAGGTCTCCCTCAGTGGACTGTCAATCGTTCAATGCAGTGGCTGACTGCATTTCATTCTAAATAATTTTTCTCTTCAAATTGAAACCTAGTCACTAGGTTTCTGTGCTCTAAGCCCTTTAAACCTAGTTATACGTTGACAAAATAGAAGT